>NC_000014.9:60520803-60823834 GCF_000001405.40 Homo sapiens | reverse complement strand
CAGGCTAGGGTGCAGTGGCACAATCTCAGCTCACTGCAACCTCTGCCGCCCTAGTTCAAGCAATTCTCCTGCCTCAGTCTCCCAAGTAGCTGGGATTACAAGCGCCTGCCACCAAGCCTGGCTAATGTTTGTATTTTTAGTAGAGATGGGGTTTTGCCATGTTGCCCAGGCTGGTCTCAAACTCCTGACCTCAGGTGATCCGCCCACCTCAGCCTCCCAAAGTGCTGGGATTATAGGCGTGAGCCACCATGCCCAGCCCACAAGTACAGTGATTTCTTAGATATAAAAGGTAATGATGCAAGAAAGAAAATTAAAGGTAATAGAAGTCTTAAATACCACTCAGAGAAAGACATTCAGAAGAACATAAAGGCAATGTAAAGATAGAAATTTTTTTTCCTCTCCAAATCTATATGCCTTGCAGCAGAATGTTAAACATTATTACAAACAAACTCAGGGTAAGATACCCCTTCAGGCAAAAAGAAAATCTGTGCAACACATTCCCCCTCCCCAATCCCCACTCAAAAGTAATCAGATAAACAGAGAGCACTGCTGCTAACAAGCTCTCACAGAATTCAGGGATAGCTAAAGGGAGAGTACTCCAAGTAGTGAGTTTTCAGTTTTAGAATTTGATCCCTTTGTCAGTCTTCAAGGTTGTTGACCTTAAAGCCAGGGTGTAAGACCCACCTCTTCATCCAATACTTTAAAAGGCAGAGTAGAGGGAGGTTTATTAAATTTGCTCCAAGATGAGCTGAGATTGAAACTTCTTTCATCATTAAAAGTGTGCTCCTCAGCCGGGCACAGTGTAATCCCAACACTCTGGGAGGCCAAGGCAGGCAGGTGGCTTGAGCTCAGGAGTTCCAGACCGGCCTGGGCAACATGGTGAAACCCCATTGCTACCAAAATTACAAAAAATAGCCGGGTGTGGTGGCACACACCTGTAGTCCCAGCTACTGGGGAGGATGAGGTGGGAGAATCGCTTGAGCCCAGGGGACAGAGGTTGCAGGGAGTCCAGATTGTGTCACTGCACTCCAGCCTGGTCGACAGACCAAGACTCCATCTCAAAAACAAAATAAAAAATAAAGTAGGCTCCCGCCTGAGCACACTGGCTCACACCTGTAATCCTAGCACTTTCGAAGGCTGAGGCGTTCCAAGATTGCTTGAGACCAGGAATTCAAGACCAGCCTGGCCAACATAACTATACCCTGCCTCCTCTCCAAAAAAAAAAAAAAAAATTCTTAAAAACTAGCCCAGAGTGGTGGTGTGAGCCTGTAAACCCAGTTACTTGGGAGGCTGCAATAGGAGGATGGCTTGAGCCCAGAAGTAGGCTACAGTGAGCTAGGATCTCACCACTGCACTCCAGCTTGAAGTAACAGAACAAGATCCTGTCTCTAAAAATAAATTTAAAATAAATAAATAATTTAAAAAGTATGCTGCTGAAGCAACTTTGCCACAATGGATATATTTCCTAATCTCCTCAAGGAAATACATTGCAGAGTATTTTGTTCATATCATGTTCAGGTTAGCAGATTTATTAATCAGTGATCTTCAAAAACTTTTACATCTCGCCATTCCAATTCATTTCATTTTTAAATAAATAGAACATTACGAAACACAGAAAGACCACCAGCAACTATTCTGTCTAGGTGAAAAAAGGTTGTAGATCTGATGCTGCCTCTCTTTAGGCCAAAGAAAAGCACTAAGACTATCTAAGAGGGCTAGCCAGGTTATATAAATTTCAAAACATACCACAGGTAAAAATTAAAAGATAAGAACACAGAAGAAGAGAAATACATAATTTGTAATTCTCATTGGTAATGGAATGTAAAAATATGATAGAGTGATGGAAATTTAGATATATCTATAAAAACAATTTTTTTATTTTGGCTGTACATTGCATCAAATTCTTCTTGACCCAAATGTGAATCTCCCAATGGCAAAGCAAAATGCTCTGAAGTTAAGAAAAATGAGAATAATTTATTCAAAAAAATTTTTTGAATAATTACATAGTACAATATTTAGTCCCCACAAGAACACATAAAGTTATGCCACAGAACACATTGTGTCCTTAAGGAAGCTCATCTAAAATGAGACCGGCATGGAAAATAGCCAATTGCAATACAAGGCAGGAGCTACAATATATAATAAAAGTACATATAAAATGTTAGGGGAAGCATCAGAATATGCAATTAAATTCCACACAAAAGAGGGTTCATGAAAATCACACTTGATCGATGCATAAATTATAAGTAAAGTTTTCATAAGCAGTTAAGTATATTCCAAACAGAGTAAACACCATAAAGTCACAGAAACTTGAAAGTACTTCAGGATCTTCATTCTATTAAATGTGAGCCTAATATGTAAGATTCAGTCATTCATTTAAAAATATTTAATGAAGGTCCACAGTGAACATTCATTAAATAGGTACTAGAGACAAACATCATTCTAGGTACACAGAATTTATATTCCAGTGGTAAAGATAAACATTAAACAGTGTACCCATAAGACACTTTCTGATAGTGATATATGTTATAAAGGGTTAAAAAGCATAACATGGGCCAGGCGTGGTAGCCCATGCCTGTAATCCTAACACTTTTGGAGGCCAAGGCAGGAGGATCACTTGAGCTCAGGAGTTTGAGGCCAGCCTGGGCAACATAGTGAGACCCTGTCTCTATATTAAAATTTTAAAAAGCATAACATAATGTGGATGGGGGCAGGAGAAAGATACTTTAGATAGAATAGTCAAACGGTCAGTGTGAATTGAGCATAAGGAGCAAGGCAGAGTAGGGAAAGTATTCTCTTAACAGTATCTTTTGTCTGTTTCTAGAAAATGCTGTTTCTTACCTTAGGCCTTCTTTACTGCTCTTTTCTCTGCCTGTATTTTTGCATGGCTAACTCCATTTTACCATTGACTTCTTAGTACAAATGTCACTTTCTCAGAGGTGAGAAAGTAGATAATATTCTGAATTTTATTCTAAGTGTACTGGGAAGACATAGGAAGATAGTAAGCAAGGAGGTGATGAGCTGATTTGTTTAATATTGTTTATTTACCATCATTCATTTATTTAGGAAACCACCCAAAGGCTTATAGACTAGATTATGGGGTACACAGATGAATAGAGACACCAGGTGGAATGTTACTGTGATAGTCCACTAAAGAAATGATGGCAATTATCCTAGGATGATAAGAGGTGGAGAGAAGTGGGTAAATTCAAGATAAATTTTAAAAGTAGAGCCAACTTAATACCGAAGTATCTAGATTTTCAAATTCTATAGTCAGCAACTGAAAAAAAAAAAAAAAGTTGCAAAAGACTTAAGATGAGTTCTTGTATCTTCTACTTAGACTGTAAGCCAGATCTTATTTTAATATTATATATACTATAAAAGGAAGAGAACTAGAAAATAGGAGCAGCTGCTACACATTTGCTAAAGTGGAAGCAACAGTAAAATTAAATATGACTTTATCCATTGAGGTCAAAGGAAAGAAACGGTCCTTTGCCTCTTAAAATTAGAGTATTATCTCTAATTTAAAATATACTTTGATAATGTTTTGAGGCATTCGTTCTTGCATACTCATCATGCTCAATTTACAATAGGGGATACATTCCTGAGGCTTGTAGCTACATTGTGTCATCTGAATACTAGACTTTATTCTTGAAAATTACTGAGTTTACTGGTCTTTTACCAGTAAACTCCCACCACTTCAATATTGCATGTCATTAACACTGACTTTGAAATGCAGGCATATAATGATAAAAGCCAAACAAAGATTCTGCAACCTCCATCATCTTGAATTTTAAAACTATGTATAAAAATGAATTTTATGTATATAAAAACTAGGTAAAGATTTAGGGAATTAGTATAGCCATTTGTGTTATCAACTCGTTATTATCAATAAAAACTAACCTCAATTATTGAGAGCTTACAATAAGCCAAGTACTATACTGTGTACTTTGTTCACATTATTTCCCAACACGTTTATGAGATCAGTATTATCATCACCGTTCCACAGATGGGAAAAAAAGGCTTATTGGAAAGGCAAAGTAATTTGTTCATGTCAAGCAGCTGGATAAATGGGTTGTTGAGAGTTGAACTCAGGTCTGTTTGGATTCAAAGTCCAAATCCGTAACCATGACTTTGTAGTGCTGCCACAACTTTTTTAAAACCAGTTTTTAATTGATACAGAGTAGTTGCATATATTTTGTGGTACTTTTGATACCTGTATGCATACAATATGTAATAACCAAAACAGGGTAATTGAGATATCCATCACCTCAAACATTTATCTTTTCTAACCACATTTTATACTACTCTAATGAGACTATTTTAAAAGATAATTAGGAATTTGAATGCTACATATTTAGAGTGGCTACATCTCAAACATCTAAATATTAAACACATGTTAAAGTTAATATGCCAAAGTATATATTTTCTAAACAAAAAAAAAAACCTGTAAAAGTATACAAAAACATCATTGGCTTATAAAATCTTTCCCTTGAATGCTAAAATAAACAATAAAATATAACAATACAATATAAAATAAATTTTTTGAAACCCAAATTAATCTATTCATCAGTCTAGAAACTAAAAATGGCTTTCAGAGTTTTTAAAAATATATATGTGAAGAAGACTGTTTAGAAGAAAACACTAATTGATACATTTGCTTTCCCATTTCATATCTGCAGATGGTAACTACTCTCCAAACAATATTTATAAATTTTTTTCTACACTACAAGCTTAAAAATGTAAGTAGAGTAAGAAAGTCATACAAACCCAATTCACATACAAAAAAATTGTGTTGTATACTCTGAAAATTATTTGTTTCACTTTCCTCATACTGCACCCATCCATATTTCCAGACACCTAAAACTAGATCAGACACTGTTCTTAAACATCTGAACATTTCGGTTTACTATAGAAATCGTGTAAAATTATAAAGCATAATCCTTGAAAAAATATCTTTCAAACAAGCAATTAAAATAAGGCTTACCATTTTGATGCCTGTGGAAAACGTCACTGGTTTTACAGGTTTGGGTTTCTCAAGTTGCATTTCTAATTGGGTAGATCTATCTTTATGCTGAGCCAAAAGCAGAGCAACAGGGAGATCAGAACTCTCCTGTAAGAATAGTTCAAGTTCAATAAGAAATGTAAAAAGGGAAAACTAAAAACAACAAGACTTTTATTTTAAATTATGTCTTTTCCATAAGCATTTCATGTCAAACTAAATATTCACATTATGGAGGACACTTTACAAAAAATATTAACATTCCATAATAAGAAAAGGCTGTTGTAGATTCATAAATCAAAATAACCTGCAAACAAGTATTTTTATAAAATCCACATTAAAAGTTCCTATTTCAACTAGCAAACCAACCACATTTATTAAAACGAAAAAAATAAGCTAATCACAAAAAGAGTAGTACAAAGTACTATAACTTAGATCAGATGTTTATCTAAGACGCATTCTTTTTACCAGTAAATTTAGACCAGTTTGAAATTGTTTCCCATTAGATTTCACCTGAGACCGTTTGGAAATGATCCTTGTTCTATTTTGCACAATGAAACTATTGTAAGTACAACCAAAAGTATATTTATTTTCTCCTTTACTAACTTACTTTTAAAATTTAAGTCTATGTTTTCTAACTTAAGTAACAAAATGACAGTTAAACATTTTAATATATTAATTATAAGCACTCAGACACATTTTAATACCATAAGCAAATTACTAATTTTTATATGTAGACTGTTATTTATTCTGTTTAACAAGAAGTCCTCTTACATCTTTAAAGTGCTGTGGAGTTAAGGTCTAAACTAAATGATATCCAGACATTTTCCTTTCTGAGTTTTCAGTTAAATAAGAATCCAAAAACATATGCAGAAGGACGTACCAGGAGGAAGAAGAGATCTCTCTCTCTCTTTCCTACACACACAAACAAACACACACACACAAACACACAAGCAGAGAGAGAGATTGAGAATTTTCTGTATCATAAACAGAGATGAAGGTCAAATACATTTTTATCTCCTATACCAGGATAATGTGCTAAAACATATTGTTCAAAGAGGCTATAGATGTTAAAATAGTGACTACACAGAATTTGATCCTGAAGAAACTCTATTGTTAACATTTCACAGCACAAAGCAAACATACAGATTTTAATTTTCTTTCCAAATCTAGCAACTTAATAATTTTTTAGGCACAAATGTGGTTAATTAACAGACTTAAAGGAATTGGTTTAAGGTTACAGTATAGAAATAACTCAAATAAGCAACTTAATTCAATAGAATTGTCCTAGAATAAAGTTGCACATCAAGATTTTATAATAGAAGTGTTTTGCAAGAGCAATGTTACAAAGTTTAAAACTTTTAATAGTAAATGGAAGAACACAAATTTTATTTATTTATAAGATGTAAACTTATTAAGGAGCAAAATCATTAAGACCTGGCTTTAACAATAATGAAGGAAAAGTGATGAAATATAGTACGAGGAGAATATACTAGAATACCTTTTATATTCTACACCAAAGCATTAGTAATGCATGAGTAACTGTATTGCTAAGATTCCTTGCAGCTATTCTAGATTTACATTAAGAATTTTATAATAAAATATAAAATTAAAGAACATTTTTAATGGGCTGTGATCAAAAAAATATCTTTTAAAAGCTATTCTATCTTTTCACATGTAGAAACTAACAAAAGAAAAATAAATTTCCTTAGCTAAAAAGTTAAAAGTATTGCTTTTCAATTTATACTCTAAATCAATTCAAGTGCTCTTCTTTAACTGGTATTTCCTTTAAAAAGCAAAAATTCTTACATAAAAGCAACGTATTAACTTCAAAAAAAAAGTTGCTAGTCAAGACTTTAGCTTGTTTTAATCCTGGTTTCACATTCACATAAAAGGAACTGAATGTTAAAGTGTCTTGGTAAACAGCTGAAATCTAATAAAAACAAACATTCTAAGGATCTAAAACACTTTTGATATTGAAGCACAGAATTTAGTTCCAACCTACTTTATTCTATTTTAGCACTCAAATTTTGAAGCCTGGAAGCCTTACTAAGTGTTAAACTAGAATTAAGTAGGAGTTCCAACAACAAAAAATATTAATGGAGTAAAATAAACTATGTGAAACATGCATGCTCTGGGGAATATCTAACATGCAGATTTAGCCTTTCAAGTTATTTCATTCTTTGCATTACATTTTACCTTAAAAGGTTCCCTAACCTGTATTAATTGCCTGAAGGCACACTGTTTAATATTTAAAGAAATTTTAGTAAGAACTGCCTGTAATACTCATTAAAAGCTTTATAATGACCATTTTTAAAAGATTATTTTAACTGACTTTAAGCAAGCCATCTGGCAAACAATATTTCTAATAAAAATCACCTACTGCGTTTGACAACAATATTAGCCCATACAAAATTTAAGACATAAACTGAAGCGAATTTTCAAACAGGAATATAAAAAGATTTAATAAGCCAGGACCTGTTTAAAAATCTTTTTCCAAACTTTTTTAAAATTGAATTTACAGTTAGGATTAAATAAATGGACCTTTTAGCCAACATTACTGCAAATACTAAGCCATAAACATTAAGACCATAACATTAAAATCCCGTCACATACAGTATAATATAATGCAAATACTTTTTAAAAGGTTAAAAAGTGACTTTTGGCACAAAGACCAGAACCAAAAACAGGAGGAAAAAAATTCTAATAAGTAGTACTTGTGTAAATTAGGTCCAGAGATTAATTATAAGAATTAAGCTTCTAGACATATTTACAAATGCTATTGTTTTTTAAACAAAATCTCACACATGAACATATACAGAAAAAGAAATACGTTCTTTTACTTAGTTAATAAGGATTCAAGAGGATAAAAATAAATTTAATGAATTCATTAGTCATAAAAATTTAAAGTATTTTAACATTTATAACATTGTATAAAGACTGAAAAATAAACATAACAAAATCTAAAAATAAGTTTAAAAATGAAAACCAGAAATTCAAACTGCAGTGGTATTCTAAACCAATCTGTTGTAATTAATTGCACTAATGAATACAGTAAATTACTAAGAATTATTTAATCATCATGTTATATGATCTAAACACTGAGGAAAGTATGTGCAGTAATGACTTGCAGGTGAAGAAAACAGGAAGTGGGAGAAAGAACTCACAAAAATCAATATTAACTCCAGATTACACACAATGTACAACAATGGTAGTTTCACATCTTGCTTCATGCCTCACTGAATCAAAGGGGAGCTTCATGTCAATAGCAGCTCAATGAGGCAGCAAAACAGTACTTTAAAGACTAAAAGAATATGCGGCTGGGCGCGGTGGCTCACACCAGTAACCCCAGCACTTTGGGAGGCCAAGGCGGGTGGATCACAAGGTCAGTAGTTCATGACCAGCCTGGCCAAGATGGTGAAACCCCATCTCTACCAAAAATACAAAAAAATTAGCTGGGCATGGTGGCAGGCACCTGTAATCCTAGCTACTCGGGAGGCTAAGGCAAAGAATTGCTTGAACCAGGGAGGCAGAGGTTGCAGTGAGCCAAGATCACGCCACTGCACTCCAGCTGGGGCACAGAGCAAGACTCCATCTCAAAAAAAAAAAGGGAAAAAGAATATGCAAGAATAATTGTTATGCAAAGCTGGCTAACCTCAAAATAAAATCTAAAAACTTTTTTTATTAGATGGAACATAAAATGTTAAAAGCATATTTTCTATCAAAGTTCTATATTTGGGATTAATTCAATTAATTATATAGAAGAGAAGCATTATCCAAAAAAGAGCCTGTAACTCTTTGTATAAAATGATAAGGGGAAGAATCTTTCAATAAAACAATTATAATTAGTAACTATATACTAATAATTAGTAACATCAATTTACTAATTCATTTTTAAAGTTTTTAATTTCTCACCAAACAGCTACAAAAATATAAAATACAACATGTCATTTCACTGTTAAAGCCATACCTGCCACTTAATAGTTTCAAGAAAGAACTAATGAAAGTTGCTAGGGAAGGCGTCATTATTCTATTTAATATGCTGGTGTCCTCATTTTTAGAGCCAAATTCACATTCCAGTCATAGAAAATAGAGTTTTATGACAGTGTTTTCTATCTAAGCCTCATGAATGCCCTTACCCTTATTTTTCCTTTAGTTTCTCACCTCCTTATAATTTAAGTAATCTTGCTTTCTCTTTTTTTACTCCTGGTTAACTGACTTAAATGCTTTTTTGGCAAAAGCACAGTAGAAGAACACATATATACATATTTTCCCCAATCATAGGATAATAGCATTATCAACTAGACAAGAAAGTTAAGTGTATTAACACTGCATACACACACACACACACAAACACAAAAGCCTCAGGGAAATAAATTATATGAACATAAAGGGAAAGAGAAGAATGCAAAAAGACTTTCCTGGAGAGGAAGATTTTCCGGTTTGTGAAGTCATCAATATCATACAGGGTTATAAGTATCAAATAATATAGTAATAAATCCATGAAACACTTCATAAACCTTAGTTATTATTACTGTCATTATCTAACAAGGTTGACTACCTAGGAAGCTAATTGCTGGAAAACAATAATTTGCAAAAACCCCGCTATTTCTTTCAAGCAAAAATACACTATTTTTTTATGCAAAAATATAAAATATATTGTCACAAAGTAAACAGTCAATATAAACTTCAGCATGGAGCCAAAATGAGCTCATTATTAGAAAAATAGTATTAATCAGGAGAAAAGTGCTTCAGAAACAATGTATTTTAGTCAGTTAGCTTAAAGCCATATAAACAATCTATCAAGAATATACTGGCTCATCTCAGTTATAATGTCACTCTCTCATCTGAAAATAAAATGGATATTAAACAAAAATCTTTTTAAAAATATAGAAGTAAAATATACTAGAACCTCATTTTAACATCGTTCTTAGAGTTACACAAAGTAAGTAGTGCCATGTCCACAAACAATACTCTTATCTAGGAAATCACTTTAAATCCTTCATAGTAGTTGGCATGATATAAATAAATAGGCATAAGGGTAAGACAAACTACAATATGAAAATGAAAGTCATTTTCATAATTCTTATCACTAAACTCACATTGGGATAGAGACTGAGTATCCCAAATGAATTTATATTATGCCAAATTCTAGAAAAACATAGTTTTCCCCAGTACATACTGTGTGGACTAAAGATGGCCATCACACTCCCATTAGGAGGTGAGATCTATATCCATTCCCTTTGTAACTGAGTGGGCTCTTTTACTAATATGGTGGAATCAGTGCTGTGCCAGTTTCCTAGCCCAAGCCCTAAAATGTTAGCATCTTCTACCTCCTTATTCTTGGGATATTCTCTCTTGTAACCCTGAGCCAACATGTGAGAAGTACAATCACACTGTTACAGAAATTGATGCAGTTTCTGATGTAGTCAGCCCCTTCACTAGATTCACGGTAAGGACTCCCCTCTACTAGACCCACTGCACTCAACTCTATGTGGGAGGGAGCACGTGGGTGAGTCAGCGCAGATCTAGCCAGCTGCTCCAAGCACCAATACAGGAACAAGTTTTGCATGGGGCCCGCAGTCAGACCAGACACAAGCAAGCAAGTGCAGGACCCAGCCATCCGCCCCAGGCACGGACACAGAAGCAAACTCTACGTGGGGCCCACAGCCAGACCAGGCATGTTGCCTCAAGGGGAACATGGCAGTGCCCAGGTGAGGGGGCCCACAACCCCAAAGCCCCAGGGGAAGTGTTACAGTGCTCCTTTAGTTCTGCCATCAGACAACAGTGTGTTGGCAGCTCAGTTGGCTTCTGGCCTTGTCACCTAGGGCAGCTGCTCTCCACCAGGAAGGGCAAAGTGCCAGTGTGACAGCCTTTCTGGGTACCCACACTTGGTGGGTCCCAAGCTCTTGTCTGGCATCCAAGAAGAATGAGGTCACAGGGATGGTTAAAAGATGGCGAAGGTGATAATTTTATTGAGCGATGAAAACAGCTCTTAGCAGAGAGGGGAGCTGGAGAGGGGACAGGAAGAGCAAGTCGTCTTCCCCGAAGTCAGGTTGTCTCTTCCTCTACTTACTGAGTCTGGGGTCTTTATAGGCACAGGATGAGGAGAATGTGCTGAATTAGCTTATGAGTAAGCAAAAAAGGTTGAAGTGAAGACACTACTCAAAGATGGGCATGACAGTGTAGAAAACCAATTAGGAAAGGGTAGATATACATAAAATAGGTGAAGAGTGGGGATCAATCAGAGGAAAGCACACCAAACAGGAGGACAAGTTCTCAATCTGGTCCAAGGATTTAACTTGTAGCTTGGCTTTCAGGTTTTAAACTGTCTTCAACATGGAGATGGGGTTTCTCTGGGTACCCGTCCCTATCTGCCTAGGCATTTGGCTGCCTCCTGTCGCTATCAAAACCACATGGAGAGGTGTCCTGAGAATACATTAGGGAAGCAGAAAAGCCCAAAAGAACCACTTAAATTCCTAACCCACAGAATTGTGAGCATAAAAACATATTGTTCAGTGTGGATGGAGGGCAACCTCTTATTCAGCAATAAATACACTGATATCAATACATAACCAACAAAACTAAAGGTGAACCAGATTACAAACACTGTGGAAAAGCCCTTTAAATGCCATCATCCAGCCTACTAGGAAAGGTAAATCCTGAAGAATGTTTTTTACAATCACAATTAGCATTAATACATACCAGCTCATCTAAAAAAGCCTGCTTATTCTTCCTTTTTAGAATCTGCTGCAGTTGTTCTTCTTTTTGTATAAATAATCTTCTTTGTTCATTTTCCTGTCGTTCCACTTCTAAAGCTTCTTCCAGTTCTTCCTGTTCTCGAGTCTAAAACAAAAATTTATATATGGCGTGGAATAAATTTAGGAGCCAAGAGCAATCATATACCACACTCTAATACTTTCTTTATTGGAAGCATAAAACACACTAGTCACTTATTATTTAATAATGTAGCAATTCCATATTGAAGAAAATAGAATTTACTTTATTTCATGTAGACACGTTACTATTAAATAAAACAACTATTCTGTTATACCATACTAGTGGAATTTTGCTATACTAAGGCCACTGGGAACATATTAAGGGAATTTGAGGGATGAGTTTAGAAAGATGACTAGAGGCAGTAAGGTATACATAAAGATCAATTGGGTTCAAGACTGACAATAGGAGGACTAGTTAGAAGTATATTCAAATAACCCAGATAAGAAATAAGAGCCCTACGCAGCGGCTCACACCTGTAATCCCAGCACTTTGGGAGGCCACGGCGGGTGGATCACAAGGTCAGGAGTTCGAGACCAGCTTGGCCAACATGGTGAAACCCTGTCTCTACTAAAGATACAAAAAATTAGTCAGGCATGGTGGCACATGCCTGTAATCCCAGCTACTCGGGAGGCTGAGGCAGGAGAATCGCTTGAACCCAGGAAATGAAGGTTGCAGTGAGCCAAGTTCACACCATTACACTCCAGCCTGGGCAACAGGGCGAGGTTCCATCTCAAAAAAAAAAAAAAAAAAAAAAGAAAGAATAGAAATAAGAGCCCTAAATAAAGTAATAATCTAATTAGAGTGGGGATGAGGCTTAAAAATGATAAGGAGTGATCATCAACAGAATATAAAGACTGACCAAATATGGATTGAACACTTGGATGAATGCTGGCACCATTCACTGAAACAAAGAGCATAATAAGAGACAAAATAGACTTTAATTAAAAAACTGTCAAAAGAGACAAAGAACATTATATAATGATAAAAGGATCAACATATAGAAAGATATAACAATTATAAACAACTAAATATGTAAAGCAAACATTGACAACTGAAGGGAGAGATAGACAGCAATATAGTAACAGTAGGAGACTTAACTCACATTCAGTAATGGATGGAACTTTCAGAAAGAAGATCAGTAAGGAAATAGGAGTCTTAAACAACTTTATAATTCTGTATATTTCTGTTATAACAACTAACAGAAATATACAGAACATTCTACTCAACAGCAGCGGAATACACGATCTTCCCAAGCACACACAGAACTTTCTACAGGATAGGTCACAAGTTAGGTCACAAAACAAGTCTTAACAAATTTAAGAAGACTGAAATCATACCAAGTATCTTTCCTGACCACAATGGAATAAAACCAGGAATCAATAGCAGAAGGAAAACTGGAAAATTCACAAATATGCACATATGTGAAAATTAAACAATACACTCAAATAATCATTGGGTCAAAGAAGAAATCAAAAAGGAAATTAGAAAATACCTCAGGACAAACAAAAACAAAAACATAGCATACCAAAACTTGAGGGATACAAAAAAGCAGTACTAAGAAGGAAGTTTCTTGTGATAAACACCTACTTTAAAAGAGAAGAAAGATCTCAAATAACAACCTGGCTTTACATCTCAAGGAGCTAGAAATTTAATAACAAACTGAGCTCAAAGTAAGCAGAACAAAGGATTAAAATAAATAACAAACATTAGAGCAAAAATAAATGAAATAGAAAACAGAAAAAGAACAGAAAAAATTAACAAAATTAAGTTTTTTCAAAATATAAAATTGACAAACTCTTTGCAAGACTATGAAAGAGAGAGAAGACTCAAAATCAGAAATGAAAGAGGAGACATTACAACTGATGCCACAGAAATAAAAGGATCATAAGAGACTACTATGAACAATTATACACCAACACTTAATTATATTACGCTTCAGTTAATCTAGAAGAAATGGACAAATTCCTAGAAACATACAACCTACCAAGACCAAATTATGAAGAAACAGGAAATCTGAAAAGACCTAGAACTAGTATGGACACTGAATCAGTAATCACACCTCCTAACAGAGAAAAAGCGGCAGTGGTGAATTCTGCCAAACATTTAAAGAAGAATTAATATCAATCCTTCTCAAACCTTTCTAAAAAATTGAAGAGGGAGACACTTCCAAACTCATTTTATGAAGCCAGCATTATTACCCTGATACTAAAACCAGACAAAGGTACCACAAGGAAAGAAAACTGTGAGCCAATATCCCTGATGAACAAAAATGCAAAAATTCTCAACAAAATACTTATAAACTGAATCCAACTGCACATTAAAAGGATCATACAACATAACCAAGCAGGAATTATCCTTGGGATGGAAAGATGGTTTGACATACAAAATCAATTAATATACATTAACAAAATAAAGAATTAAAATCACATAATCATATCAATACATGCAGGAAAAGGCTTTGATAAAATGTAACGCCCTTTCATGATAAAAGTGGTGGCTCACATCTGTAATACCAACACCTGGGGTTAATGAAACATTTTACCTACGCATACCTATTTTGCATGTATCTTCTGATGTTCCCAGAGAAGGTTACTAGGCAAAGAGAGTAACATTAATGACATACTGATGCTCTCAGAAATAAGATACTTTTAAAAGAAAGCTAGGCTAGCTATGAATGGAATGAAAATGTAGTATCAATTCATTGAGAGTTTTACAGCAGGAAAGAAATGCTGATATAAAACACTATAAGACTACAAGGAGGAAGTCTCTTCTAAATACAAAATGAAAATATAAGCTATGTGATCCAAATATACTTGTATCCTTTTCACTGATTATTACAAAATCCTGATAAAGTATCTCAAACGTAATTACCTCTGCTTTCCCCTACAACTAGAAAGCCAAACTGTACTATAGAAATGATAGCTAAAGTGTATAAATTAGACAATTGCTCCTTTGCATGCATACAATTTTTTCTTTATAGAATACATTCTAATACATATAATAATAATGACTCCTGAGATATTTTCAAAACAAACTTCAACATGAGATCAACTAAAACAAACCAAAATCATATTTATATCTAGCAATGTTACTCTTTCGGTAAAACAAAAAAGGTAACTAATTGAGAAACCAAAGTTAACCTTAGTTTACAAATGTGTTCCTCTGATCTAATCATGAATTCATTTTAGTTTCTAATAAATAGTGTTTTTGTTTTATCTCCCTCTTGGTAGCTCCATCACCGTCTGTCTGGGTTTTCTCTCTCCTTTAGAGAAATTAATGTCCAAGGATAAAAATGAGCCTCCAGTGTTTTGTGACCACTGTCCAAATGCTCACTTACCAGAAGATTATACAGGCAGATAAAACTAGCGTTAACAATCACCTATCTTACGGATCCACTTCCTTAAGAAAGCACAGTCTAACATAATGCTGTCAAAGTGGTTTTTGCTACAGTAATGTGTGCCTGCCTACCTACATACCTATACAGCATATATTCATATTTCTGGTCTAAATTTCAGCTAAATTTTCTATAAATGTAACTGGTTTAAAGGAAGATGGCTTTTTAAAGTATCATGTGGAAACATTTGTTTCTAAGACAAAATAAGAAGAAAATACTTAGCAACCGACCAGCTTTAATTTATTTTTCTGAATAACATCTTTGTTTTCCTTTTGGTATATCTCCATTTTCTTTTTGGTGTTGTCCAAATCCACATTGTTGGTCAAGTTGAAAACTGCATTAGAAAGGAAACGATGACATGAAAAATATTTTTAATATAAATCTTGAGTAGACAATAAAAAACAAATACCACAGTGACTCATTTGTTAGGTTGTCATTCTTTATAGCTCTATTTGTGACCTTTTAATCAGCTACCTATTTTAGAGACTAGCTCTAGTTACGGCAAACATGTTTTCCAAGCCAAACACAAGGACAGACTGTCTGACTCGCACAAAATACCTAAATGTCAGGATCACTCCAGAAAACCTAAGATATGTGCTTAGATCTGATTTTTATAGTCCCCTCTCTAGCTTTAAAAGCATAAAAAAATTGTTTAAATTTTTTTAATATAAAGAGTAAGTCTGGAATCTACTACAAGAATCAGAATTTTAAAAAAAGAGTTAAAAAATCATATATTTTTATAATTTATATCAAACAAAAAACAGGTTTTATCCCCATTCCAATTGTCTCCAACATGAGTAGACACAGGCTTGAATTACTTCCCTTGTAGTCTAGCTCTAGAAACGTATGAAATAAAGGAGTTGGAACTTAAGAAGAAAAATAAAGGATAAACTGGCACCAAAACTTAAAGTAAAAGAATTTCTTAAGAGAACCACTGAGACATGTTTAGATACTACTAAATTTTCTGTAAATTACAACTCTCTTTTTATAATTCCAACTCAAAATAATTTGAATTATGAATGCCATATTCCCTTCTAATTTTCCATATGTAAATCAAAGTTACTATAATACTCTGAACAATTAAAAAAAGACCTTCTTGCTATATATAAACTCATATGGAGGAATCCATATCAGTAAGACTCTCCTGTTCCATAATTCAATTCAAGCCTCCTTTAGCTTCCCTTGTAATCTTTCTACATCCATTATTAGCCCTTCCACCCCTTCTCCAATTACTTACCACTGCTTCCTGCTTCTTGCCCTACAAACAAGACGGATCTACCCTAAATAACTCTGCTCTATCCCTTGGGTTTCTACAGATTGCTTCCCCATCTCACTCTTTCCTTTAATAGCTTATAAGAGTTGAAAAGTAACACCGGAGGACCAACACAGAGTTGCTTGTTTTGTTGAGTAAAGCCATCAAACAGACTCAAATGACCAGTTTGATCTATAATTTCATTTTTTTCTTCTCAAAAGGCCAACTTATTTCAGAACATCAATTTATCATAATCACTGTTGAAAATCCAGGCTCATTTAGGTATAAAGGCAAAAGTCTATTCAGTTTTATCATACGCAATTTTAAATCTGGAAGAATTGAGAGAAAATGAGAAGCAATTATCCTCTAGCAACTTCTCCAGTTTTTTAACATAAAGTGGGAAAGAAAATAAGTCAGGGAATCTGGCTAGGATGCAATGTGGGACAATCTTCATAAATCACACTCTAGTCCTGACACAAAACAGTCAGAGGGAGGCTCCAGACAAGCAGCACTCTCAAAAAGTTACCTCTGATCCTTAGTTAAAATGGTGATTCCACTATCTTTACCAACCACTCAAAATCTACCTCTTGTATTTAATAGGCCATCCTCTAAGCAACCAAATCCAATGATCTTTCACAACTCTCACCATCCTCAACATCTACCAGATCCAACCTCAGCCTCCCAAGTAGCTTGGATTACAGACATGCACCACCATGCCTGGCTAATTTTTGTATATTTCAGTAGAGACAGGGCTTCACCATGTTGGCCAGGCTGGTCTTGAACTCCTGGCCTCAAGTGATCCACCCGCGTTGGCCTCCCAAAGTGCTGGGATTACTGGCGTGAGCCACCATGCCCAGCCATTAACCTAGGCTATCTGATTCCAAACCTGAACTTTTATCTACAATGCCTACAAAACTAGTTGTGTCATTTCTCTCAATGCCTGAAAACCACTGCTACCTAGCAGTCCTCTGCATTTGTATGCCCCTACACTTTCCCATTTCCATACCTGTGATTAAACTGTTCCCTACCCATAGGGCTCATCTCAGTACCAACCTCAACCCAGAACAACAGTGAATATCCACATATGACTCACCCTTCTATACCCATTTTAATGACCAGCTCCTCCTTATGAGACACTTTGCAGTTACAATCTCTCCATCCCTGAATGCTTACAATACATTGTCTAATATCGCTCTGCTGGCATTTACCCACTTCCTACCCTGTATAATTATTTTCAATGTGCACATCTTGTCTGACCTATTAGAATGTTCCTTGAGGGCAGTTTCTAGGTCTGATTCATCTTTATTATCACTTCCACTACTTCTAAGGCACTCCTATTAGAATGGCAAAACTCCAATGACAACATAAAATGCTGGTGCAGATCTGGAGCAACAGGGACTCTCATTCCTTGCTGGTGGGAATGTGAAATGGTATAGCCACTTTGGAAGACAGCTTCCTAGTTTCTAACAAAACTAAACATACTCTATCATATAATCTGGCAATCAAGCACCTAGGTATTTATCCAAATGAATTGAAAACACATGTTCACACAAAAACCCACACATGAATGGTAACAGCAGCTTTATTAATCATTGCCAAAACTTGGAAGCAACCAAGACATCCTTCAGCAGATTTAAAAAAATGTAATATTATTCAGCACTAAAAAGAAATCAGCTATAAAGCCAAGACACAGAGGAGCTTTAAATGCATATTGCTAAGTGAAAGAAGCCAATCTGAAAAGGCTACATACTGTATGATTCCAACTATATAACATTCTGGAAAAGTCAAAACTATAAAAACTAAAAAGAACAGTGTTTGTCAGGGGTTGGGGTAGGGAGGAATAAACACACAGAAAAACACAAAGGATTTTTAGGACAGTTAAAATGACTCTGTATGATATAATGGTAGATACACATTATTATACGTTTGTCAAAACTCATAGGGTATACAGCACCAAAAATGAATCCTAGTGTAAACTACAGACTTTGTGTGATAATGATATCTCAATGTAGGTTCATTGATTGTAACAATGTACCACTCTGGTGCAGGATGTTAATAATGGGGGAGGCTGTGCACTGTGCACATGTAGAGGGAAGAGATATATAGGAATTCTCTATACTTTTTGCTCAATTTTGCTGTGAATCTGAAACTTCACTAAAAAAAAGTCTACTTTTAAAAAAAAAGAAAAAAGAAAAAACTTCTCATCTGGTAAGGGCTCAAGAAATACTTGTTGAATTATCATGAGAGAAAAAATAAACTAATACCCAACATTTATAATTACTTTTATAATTATAGATTTAACTAAAATAACCTTTATAATTACTGATTTGAACATGGCAAAGGAGGAAGGTTCAAAAGGACAGGACTAAATTATCTTGGTTTCTTATGGTATGAATCTACTGAAAAGTAAGCGGTCAAATTGATATCCCATGTAGAGCTCTACTAGTATGTTCAAAACAGTTTAAAAAACACTGTTTATTAGCAAACTAGACAGTTTACTACTGATTTTAACTTTTCCATTAAATAGAGCCCAGAAATAGGCAAACTTAAATCCTAAGTGAAATTAATCTGTTTTTATATAAGCAATTTCTTTTATGCTTATCAAAAACTTTATGAGTTCTGGATCACTTGAGGCCAGGAGTTTGAGACCAGCCTGGTCAACATGAGGCCCCATCTCTACCAAAAAAATAAAATTAAAAACTTTTAAAATTAAATTAACCAAGTGTGGTGGTACACACCTGTAGTCCTAGCTACTTGGGAGGTAGAGGCAGGAGGATCATTTGAGCCCAGGAGTTTCAAGCTACAGCGAGCTATGATAGTACCACTGCACTTTAGCCTGGGAGACAGAGTGAGACCCTATCTCTAAAAAATAAATGAATAAATAAAAATTTAAAAAAGAAAACTTTATGAATTCCAAAAAAAGTAAAATAATTTGTTTCAGATTTTAATTTAGAAGCAAAGGTAACAGCAATAATAAATGCAAATCATAATCAGATAATACAAGTCTCTTCCTTTAAAAAGTAAGAAAAGAACCATAAAAGCGAATTACTATTTTAAAAGTTTTCAGATGAAGCAGGTCTCATTCATACCCAATGAATCAGGTTGGTACAATAGCCGTGAAGAAAAAGGAATAGAAGCTAATTTGCTATAACAATCATTTGACCCTTTATCTGTTTACTGGTTTAGCTTAGATGTTGACCTGCCTTTAGTCAAGTATTAAAAGCAAACAAAAAGCCTATTGTATTTTCTGAAAGATTTAATGTTATTCACGTACAATTTTGAAGTCTTTTTGACATCCAGAATTTATAATTAAAGCCCTTAGGACTTTCTCACCCTTTTAAGATAAGTATTCTCTGCACCAAAAGAATAATCTGTTTTGCACCAAAAGAATAATCTGTTCATTATGAAACTAAGAATAAACCTTTGAGATAATCTCTGGAGCCATAAGGAACAAGAATTTTATGTATAGATTGTCATAACCACAGAAAAGAGTCTATTGTTAATGCCATAAGAAAGTCCATCTTCATGTGTGCCCCTTCTATTGAAAATGTTTGATGCTATTATTAAAATTATAATGTTTTCATTTTTATATTCATATTCAAAAGATTCATAATGAAATTTATACAACAAAATTACTTCAATCTCCAATTTATGAATCCTCAAACACTGACCCTCTGAGGCACCCTAATAATTCTAGTTTTCTTACTCCAGATTTAAACGTTTATCTTCAACAGCACCCTTCTACCTATAAGATCGAGTTCAAATGTCTTTAATATCCTTCAAAATATGGCCCCAAACTACTTTTTTTCTCTCATCTCTAATAATTCCATAGAACTCCATGTTCTAGACTCAGAAAGTAAGAAAATCCTATATTTACAATTTGGCTCCATTCTTTACTAGCAATGCAGTCTTGGGCACAATACTTAAGCTCTCTGTGCCTCTTCTCCAGATGCAAAATAGGAATAAAAATGCCTGTCTCTTAGAGTTTCAAAAATTATGAGATAATGTGTGTACAGCTCAGTCTGGTACTTAGTAAATGTCCATTAAATTAACATTTTATACTTCTGATTAACACAAATAATACAGATATCACAGACATCTAACTATCTTTAAAAATATGAATACAACACAAAATAGAAAGCTATTGAAACAAGATTTTTACAGGAAGTTTTCGCTGGGTGCGGTGGCTCACGCCTGTAATCCCAGCACTTTGGGAGGCCAAGGTGGGTGGATCACAAGGTCAGGAGTTCAAGATCAGCCTGGCCAAGATGGTGAAATCCCGTTTCTACTAAAAATACAAAAAAAAAATTAGCCAGGCATGGTGGTGGGCGCCTGTAATCCCAGCTACTCGGGAGGCTGAGGCAGATAATTGCTTAAACCCGGGAGGCGGAGGATGCAGTGAGCCGAGATCGTGCCACTACACTCCAGCCTGGGCGACAGAGCGAAACTCCGTCTCAAAAAAAAAAAAAAAAAAAGTTTTATTTATATGATGACAAACCGAACAATGCCATACAACTAAGTGGTGGAGCCACACTCTAACAAAACTTAAAAGGTCTAAAACTAAAGTTTTCACTTTATCTCTCATTTCTGCAAACGCTTCACCCAACAAAACAAAATAATAGAAAATACTGCCTATTCTCCCGGGTTTACCTGATTAACACCATACAACTGCATGGGGTCAGGTCATAATATTTGAATTTATCTTTGCCTACTCTAACACACTTCCTACATCAAATCAACCACTTGAATATTCTATGTCTAAAATATCCTCTTTATCTATCCCCACTGTGACTATCTACTCCAAGCCCTCATTATTTCTCATCCAAATTACTGTAATGGCCCCTTGAAAAGTCATTTCTCACTCTTTAGTATCTCCTCTTAGCCACAAGATAAAATCTTAACTGACAGCCCAGTTTACAAAGCCCTCTTTTTTTTTCAGTTGACAAATAATAATTGTATATATCTATGGGGTACAATGTGATGTTTTGATATATGTATTCACTGTGGAACTATTTTATCTAATTAATTAACATATCCATCACCTGACATGCTTATTTTTTTGTAGCAAGGACATTGAAAATCTACTCTTTTAGCAATTTTGAAATATACAATACATTATTATTAATTATGGTCACCATGCTGTGCAATAGACCTCAAAAACTTATTCCTCCTGTCTAATTGAAATTTCATATCCTTAGGCAACAAAATAATAAAAAATACTGCCTATTCTCCAATGTTTACCTGATTAACTCCATACAGCTCCCCTTTCCCCACCCACCATCCATCCCACAGCCTCTGGTAGCCACCATTCTACTCTTTACTTCTCTAAGTTCAACTTTTTTAGATTCCAGATATAAGTGAGACCATGCCATATTTGTCTTTCTGTGACTGACTTATTTCACTTAGCATAATGTCCTCCAGGTTGATCCACGTTGTTGCATATTACAGAATTACCTTCTTTTTTAAGGCTGAAGTATTCCATGGTGCATATGTACCACATTTTCTTTATCTATTCATCCAATGATGGACACTTAGGTTGATTCCATATCTTAGCTACTGTGAATAGGGCTATAGGTTATAGACCCAGAAGTGGGATTACTGGATCATATGGTAGTTCTGTTTTTAGTATTTGAGGAACTTCCATACTGTTCTCCAAAATGGCTGTACTAATTCACATTCCCACCAACAGCATACAAGGATTCCCTTTTCTCCATATCCTCATCAACACTTATCTCATCTTTTTGATAATACCCATTCTAACAGATGTGAAATGATATCTCATTGTGATTTTAATTTGCATTTCTCTGATGATTAGTGGTGTTTAGCACATTTTCATATACCATACGTATGTCTTCTTTTGAGAAATGTCTATTCAGGTCCTTTGCCCATTTTCTAATCAAGTATTTTCTTGCTACTGAGTTGACTTCCTTATATATTTTGGAGATTAACCCTTTATCAGATTTCTGGCTTGCAAATATTCTCTCCCACTCTGTAGATTACTTCTTCACTCTGTTGTTTCCTTTGTTGTGAGGAAGTATTTTAGTTTGATACAATCCCATTTGTCTATTTTTGCTTTTGTTGTCTATGGTACTAAGGCCTCCTTAATCCAGCCTGTTTTTCAGGCCCCATTTTTAGTCATCCCTCATGTTTTACCCACCTATAACAGACTACTTGCTCATTCTCCAACATGCTCAACATTTTTCTATCTCGGTGCCTTTTTCTTTTGTTACAAATGTTTTTCCAAGCCCTTTCTATCTGGTTAACTCTTCTTCTTCTTTTAAGATCAAACTCACATGTCATCTCTTCTCTGAATGTCACCAAACCACATCTCTATTTCCCAGTGCTAGGTTAATTGCTTTATCTGTATTCCCATAGCATTTTATAAATGCCTATTTATAAGACTTATCACATTACATTATAGTTATTAGTTAACATAATTATCTCCCCCTTTAGAGTCTGAGCTTATTGAGGGCAAATACCACATATCCCCATCCATAAAGCAGTTCACATAACATAATTTAAAAACTTGCTGAATTGAACTGAAGTTCAGAAAATAAACTATAAATCCAAGAGGTTACTTCCCAAAAATCATCAATATCTTTAAATAGAGTAGAACCACTCTTTAATAAACACAATGAGGATTTATAGTTGAACATTTAAATAAGTTTGTTAAAGGAGAGAAACACACACATACACCTGTCTCTCTCTTCAAATACTTTAACTTAAAACATATATAGGAAGTATATAGTCATTCTCTAACTTAATGACATAGAGCAAATTCTAGATTTTAGAGTTTTGCTTCTTCCTTATATAGGCCATAACTGTCATCTATATTGTTCAGTTTCCTTTTCTGTTTTCTGGTTTTTTGAGACATGGGCATGCTCTGTTGCCTAGGTTGGAGTGCAGTGGCGCAACCATGGTTCACTGTAGCCTTGGACTCCTAGACTTCAGAGATCCACCTCAGCCTCCCAAGTAGCTGGGACTACAAACGTGTGCCACTACACCCAGCTACTTTTTAAAATTTTGGTATAGATCTCATTATGTTGTCCAGGCTGATCTCAAACTCCTGGGCTCAAGCAATCCTCTTGCCTTGGCCTCCCAAAGTGCTGTGATTACAGGCGCGAGTCACTGCACCTGGCCAATTTCCATTTTTTAAGAAGTGACTTAAAAACCTGAGAAACAGAATCCTTCTAGAGTTTTACAATTTTTTCCCCAACCTTACACACTTTAAATATTTAAATTACATATAATATTAAATATGTATTTAATTACATAACTACATAACTACAATAACAAGTACAACTGGCATAAGAAGGTTGATGGCATTCACAATGCATTCATTATGCTGTGGGTATCAGTGAGTACCTTTTATGGAAGAACTGGGGAATGACAGTTACTTCAATGAGACAATTAAGTGGAGGTTGCTTAAGAGAGTTTCCCGATACTGCAACTGAAGACAGTCCTTCATGAATACACATAATAGCAGAATCACTTTCAAATTAAATGGTCTGAGCCACAGCTTCTATATTTTGGTAAAGAAAGCATTACATGTTGTATACCCCCAATATCCAGACTTGCTCTTGCCTATCAATTCTAGTACCAATTATGGGCCCCATGTTGTCCACACCTTCAAATTACTTTATCTTGGAGCAACACACACACACACACATATATATGCAGTGTGTGTGTGTATATATATATATATATTTTTTTAATCATAGCTCAGTCAGAATCTTAATCCCAGAATCAAGATCTCCTTGTAGTTCATCCCCTAAACCTATTCCTCACCTTCTCTGTATATGTTTCTTTTAGTTATCCTGACTGCCTGCTTGTAATTGTGACCATGTATTCAACTTGTACTGCAACACCTATAATTTCCTTTCCCTTTATTGCTTGACCAGACTTTTGACTAATCACATTACCTTTAGAATATATGTAAGCTACTTTTCTTCCCAATTGCTATCCAACAGCTTGTCCTATACTTAGTATCTATATAGAGCCAGATTTCTACATACCTTCATACTTGCCCAGTTCTTGTAGATTTCTTTCTGGTTTTTCTTCTCAGTCTACATTCTAACTTTTCCACTTTGCCTTGTCACTCCCAATTCTACCATCTTTTCAGCTAAAATCCATAGTCACTCATGATTGCTAAGATAACATACAAAGTGCAATGAGTACATGCAGAATGGAAAAGCAGTGGCTCTTATGGCACTGAAAGATCCCAGAGAAACCCTAAATTATGTTTTCCACATGCTTTTGCTATGGCATAACAAATGAACTTAGACATATGAGAAAAGTTTCAGGTAACAGTTGAAACAAAAAGATTTTCTGGATTTTCTAGTAAAGAAATTAAAGGAATTAGAATATTTATTATTCCTCAGGAATCTGAATTGTTAAGTTTATCATATATAAATCTTCTAAAGAATGATCCATTTTATTATAATCTTATTTTTAATAGTAAATATTGAGTACAGTTACCTATTAAGTTTGAAAGAATAAAAATGATTGCTGTTTGATCCTCATAGTCTCATTCTAATGTTCACAGTATATAACCTTTGTGTCATTTCCAAACCCGCACTTAGTAATAATTACTGCAAGTTTAAAAAGCAGCATTATTTTTTAAATCAACATATAACAACTTCCAAAGTTTTTAACATCTCTGAAATTTTATTTAAGAAAACTGAAATCATTTTTTCTTGATAAAATCTTCCTTTTGACTAAACACATCAGAAAGAAAAGGCACAAAGATTACTCCAACCTCTGATTCCAGAATAATACTGATTAATAGAATGCCACTTCAACAGTCAACTGCTTCAAAGTACTTTAAGACTACTATATCCACAGAAGCACAAATAATGATAAACATATGGCTTTAGTCACTATAAATATGGTTAATAGGAACCCCATTTTTGAAAAATCAGAATATGTTTTCCATTCATTTAAACTACTCTAATATGTTATCAACACACAGATGCATGTACCCATATAGTCTTCCTCCCCAGCTATGAAGTGTTACTATCTCTATTAAACATATTTTTCCTAAAAGACAATATTAAATAGGTTCTTTACTTAAGTATGCCTTCAATTTGACAAACATGACTCAAGTGCAAAAGAAAGTAATTAGGTAAATGTTAGCTATCACAACAAAACCTGTTAAGAGGTTTTTATGTGAGATGTTCTCCTAAGCATTTAAAAGATAAAAGCACATGGTCTTATAGGCTAGCATACATCAAATTAAAAACGTACCAATTTCTTCCACTTCTTCCAAGAAATCATTGTATTCTCTTAGACTAGGAAAATCTTCTTCCCTTTTATTGTATCTTTAAGAAAAGAAAAAAGAAATCTACATATTACATATCATTGCTTTTAATATTATCTAACTGGTTTGCTTGTTCTGACCTAATTCATATATGATACATGGAAAAGAATTGCTTACTGTGTAAAACATCGTTCTCTATTTTTTTATTTTTATTTTTTGAGATGGAGTCTTGCTCTGTTGTCCAGGCTGGAGTGCAGTGGCACAATCTTGGCTCACTGCTACCTCCATCTCTCTGGTTCAAGCAATTCTGCTGCCTCAGCCCCCCGAATAGCTGGGATTATTACAGGCGCACACCACCATATCCACTTAATGTTTTTTGTATTTAGTAGAGATGGGACTTCACCATGTTGGCCAGGCTGGTCTCAAACTCTGATCTCAAGTGATCCACCACCTCGGCCTCCCAAAGTGCTGGGATTACAAGCATGAGCCACCGCGCCCAGCCTAAAACACTGTTTTTCTTGACACCAGGTTTGTAACCAGACCAAAAATGCAATTCTTAAATTCTTATGACTACGGAGAAGAAGTAGGATCAGGAGAAAATGGTACAATATGCAAAATCCTTGTTAAGACTTCAGGGAAAGATAAATTGGGAGCTTGAAAGATTGGGAAATGAGCTTAAGCAAGACATAACATTGGAAATTATGGTATTATTTACTTCTAAGGGATTCACTAATTTCCAAAACACAAAAAATTGAAGCGACTCCTCCATTTTTCATGACATAGTCTAAAAAATACTGGATCAAGAAAATCTGTATATATTGTAATGTACCTGTAAAGAATCAGTAAATTGCAAGGAATTACCAATGAAAGATCAAAATCTAAGAGACTACCTTGCAGAAGTTATACAAACAATAAAAGAGCCGCTAGGCGGATTGATAAAGTATTATTGGTTATGTACCTAGAAAGATGCTGCTAAAACACTGGTTACCTGGGTTGAAATGTATACCACCAAAAATAAAAATAAACATATCAATTATTTCTCATAATAACAGATAAAAGGAAACCCAAAACTATTAACAAAGAGTAAAGAGTAAAGCCTAAATTGTAAATGAAAAAGACAGATTAATAATATATAGGTATATATATACATATATACACACATATATTTACTATGCCCATGTGTGTATATCTATATACACAAAAATACACATACCAAAATAAACTATAGCTAACACGTAATTTTCTCTAATAGCCTTCAAACTTCAACTTAATGTTACCTCCTCTGCCCACACCTGACATCATTGACCACAGCAACACTGAGTCACTAACTATATAGCACTATTCTCAATCTATAATAAATAACATTTGTTTTGGTTTACTTGTTTTTTTGTCTTTTTGCTATCCTATGCTACTGTATGGTAAGTCTCATGAGGACAGAGTTCATAGCTGTTTTACTCATCACTTCATAACTACTGCTTAACATGCATAACATGTTTACACATAGTAGTGTTTACACATAGTAGGTACTCAATACATAGTAGGTACTCAATACATGTTTATTAATCAAAGAATAAATACAAATGAATAATGAAGCCATCAATCAAGAGGCTCTTCTTTAACAAAGATAAATAATATTACTCAGTTCTCTAAGAACTTAAATGAATTTATAGTTATTTACTTGCTAATCTGTCCACATTTATGAGCAAATAATAATCAATTACTGACATAATTGTTAAAGTCCTCTTTGTTGACTGAATCATTCGAGCAGGAATACTTACATCTTTAGCACTTTTTTCCTGATCTCAACCTCCTTGTCAACAGTGGGATCTTCAAAGAGTTGTACCCTGAAGTTGCTCTTTCTGAGTGGAGTACCACACTCAGGGCAGTTTCCAGCTCCTCTCACAAACAGTAAATCTACACAACTTTCACAGCTGTAAGGACAGAAATAAAACATAACATTTAAGCCAATGTTCAAATCTACAACACATCTGAATAGTTTGCCCCTATGGGATAAGGAGAGTGAGACTTGAAAACTAGTCACTTCTATTTAAAATCTTACCAAAAAACTTTCTGGAAAATGTTCTTTTTCATTTGGAGCTTACTTTTCAGATATAGGTATCCCAAGTGATACCAGTTTAGTTTTACAGATCAAACAAATTTATAAATTAAAACAAATTGAGTGAGAGACTAGGAAGAAGAGCAGGATAGGGAGAAGTCAAAGAGCATGTAAAAGGCTACTGTATGGTCACCTCCATCCCCAGTCCCAATATCATCCATAGACCTGGGCAAGAGAAGCCTCTGCCAGGGGCCTGCTCTTTAGAGAGCCCTATATACCCCAAGCACTAAAACAGATGTTTTTTTCTTCCTTTCCTTGTAAGAATGTCTTTTGAAAGTTCAGTAATCAACTGAGCAAATGACAATTACAAGAAAGAGGTGCTAGCTGAATGAGGCCTCACTGGCCAGAGGATAAAGAACTTTGAGCGCTCCAGTATGTGTGAGGGAGAAAATGAACACAACTTCTGCCATGAGAAATCCCAGAAAGAGTGGCTGCTTATAAAAGCTTTATTCGGTTAAAGTTCGTTGCCCCAAATAAAGCAAACCGAATTCCCAGGCAAGCCAGGTTTCCCAGATACCTGCATCCCCTTTTCTGGTAGTGCAACATTAAGAAGGGCTTACAACTTCCTAGAAGACTTGAGTTGAAAAAACAATGAACTGGAGAGGCAAACCTCTCTATAACCAGATTCCTGGGGACTTGGTGGGATCTGTTAATATACTGTTTTAGATGGGTCTAGGTACCACCCCAATCATCCCTGCCCTACCCCAACAGATCCATACTACCACTCAGTCAGGCAGGTTACAAAGATGGATGGGAGGAGAGAGCAGTTCCTTTAGCCTCTGAGTCTTGAGGGTATAGGCTGCTGGCAACTCAACATGCTGTGTAGGAAATCAGGCTGGGCCAAGGATGTGGCTTGATTTATAACTTTTAAATATTCGAATGTTTTGATAAATATTTAAACATTTGTAGTCCTCCAGGTGTAATCTTGCCCAATTCCATATGTGTTAGGACCACACAGTCCTAATCACTCCTTTTGTTGGCAATATCTGACATCATCTTATTTATTTCTGTGTTCTGTCTCCTAGACAAGGAAGTACAGTATATTTCATAAAGACAGAATGTTGCCTATCTTGTTCTCTATCCGCAGTGCCTAACGCTAAGTACTCACTAAGTAAACTTCACAAAACAAAAAAATGAATACAAGACAAAGGGAAAAAGAGAAATTCTAATGAATAGGGAAGAGTTGATTTCTTCCAAGTGTGTATTTAACTTACAGAATAAGCTAAATAAGAAAAGTAATAAGAAAAATAAGAATTTTTAAGGTTATTAGTAAAATACTAACATTGATCTTTAAATATATACATACACACACAGACATATATATACACACATATGTATATATATACCTATTTTATATATATATATATATATTTTTTTTTTTTTTTTTTTTTTTTTGAGAATGCAGTGAAGTTGTCACAGCTCTCTGCAGCCTTGCCCTCCCAGATTCAGGCAATCGTCCTACATCAGGCTCCTCAGTAGCTGGGATAACAAGCACACACTGTCACGCTCTGCTAATTTTTTTATTTTTTTGTAGAGACTGGGACTCCCCATGTTGCTCAGGCTGGTCTCGAACTCCTGGGCTCAAGCGATCCTCCTGCCTTGACCTCCCAAGGTTCTGGGATTATAGGCATGAGCCACCACTCCTGGCCTATATTTCTATCTTAATAGTGTCACTAAAAAATAACAGGGAAAAATTCCAAAGATCATAGTGTCATTAGCAAGATCAACTAAACCCCAGATAAACCACTCTGGACTTAGGAAGTTTCAGAGTGGTGCATTTTCACTATTCTTTGTGGTTAGAGGAAATTAAACCCATCCATGGAAGGTGAAAACAGGCAAACTTTACAACTATACTAACTAAAGATATTTATAAGTAAGCATCTATCCAAAATAGTCAAAATTACAGAGCCACAAATAACATTAATATATCTCAAGGTCTTGGAGATTAGACTCAATCAATAGTTTAGTCAGCAAGGTAATATAGAACATTAATATTTCTAAACGTTATATTGTATATTAGACATAATATATTGTTTCCAAAATCAGTTGTACATCTCCACTTTTTATAATCTGCCTTGTCATAATAATTTAAATAGTATTAAAATTTTTTATTGCAGTTTATTTTCCTACGTAACATTTTCCATTTCTAATTTTAACTGTGAAAAGAATATTTTTTCTTTAAAGCTTATAAAATATAGAATTATATAGAAAAATAACTCAAAGTTCTACTTCATTGTGTTCTGTATCTCACTTCCCACGGGTAATATGCTACTGTTGAGTTTAGTGTTTGTGTGGCCACATCTTTTTCTACATATTTACAAAATACATATATAAAAACTAATCATTAAAAAAAAGAACAGGCCAGGCCTAGTTGCTTACGCCTATAATCCCAGTGCTTTGGGAGGGCAAAGCAGGAAGATAGCTTGAGGCCAAGAATATAAGACCAGCCTAGACAACATGGCTAGATCCCTCCCTCTACAAAATATAAAAATTTAAAAAAAATTAGCTAGATGTGGTGGTGCATGCCTGTAGTCCTAGCTACTCAGGAGGCTGAGGCAGGACAATCACTTGAGCCCAGGAGTTCAAGGTTACTGTCAGCTGTGATTAGCCACTGCACTCCAGCCTGCGTGACAAAGCAAGACCTATATCCAAAAATAAATAAATAAATAAATAAAATAACAGGAAAAATAGGCTGGGTGCAGTGGCTCACACATGTAATCCCATCACTTTGGGAGGCCAAGGCAGGCAGGTCACTTGGGCCCAGGAGTTTGAGACTGGCCTGGGCAACATGGCAAAACCTCATTCCTACAAAAAAACAAACAAACAAACAAGCAAAAAACAACAACAACAACACCAACAAATTAGCCGGGCATGGTGGCACACGCTTGCGTCCCAGCTACTCAGGAGGCTGAGATGGGAGCTACTCAGGAGGCTGCAGTGTGCTGTGATCATACCAGTGAACTCCAGTCTGGGCGACAGAGCAAGACCCTGTTTCAAAAAAAAAAAAAGAAGAAGAAGAAGAAGTAGTAGTTGATAATTGCTAGTTCATTTTATCTGGCAACAGAGCAACCAAAACAGCAGTATATGGGCAATCTTTTGCCTCTAGGAGTGCTAGGAATTTTTTCAAATAAAACTTTACATTCTGCAGAAAACAGAAAAATCTGCTGAAGAAGCCCAAATTTTCAGTCATTATCCATTTCCAAAAATATTTTTATGGTTTTTGTTTTTAAAAATCAGAATGACATCCTTTTTCTCTCTGAATGACATATTTTTAGCAGATTTTATTTTATCAAGAATATTCTCGTCAAAATTTTAGTCAATTGTTCACTTTACTTTTTAAAGAGCAACTATATTCCATGTCAAATTTCAAATATTATTAAAACATACTGGCCTAAAAGAAATATTCATAGTTTGTCAAAAACTCTATACTTAAGACTTTCTGTGAAGTAACCTAGTTTTATCAGCACTTTCCATTCTTCGTTAGCTCCTTGGCTTTTAAAAATGAAACAGAAACCTATGGTCTTGAAAGCTAAAAAACAAGTAATAACATTGTAAAAGAAAAATTTTATTTTTACAATAAATTCTTCCTTAAGCCCATGTGTACTAAATTCTGTAAGAAAGAAGCAGGATATTATTTTTTAAAAAATTTCCTCCCAAAATAAACCTAACTTGTCTATACAAGAAAATATTGATTGAAGTGCCATATCTTTGAACATTAAAACTTTAGAAACCTTAATTCAACTAAATCATTTGCCAAAAATCTCTGCTCTAACCGAATCATAGAAATTTTAGAGGTAGAAATGACCTAAATGATCACCAGTTAATTAAAATATTATCAACATCCAATAATGAAATGCGTTTAAGGATTCATGGAAAACACATGAAAAAAATAACACCTGGTGCATTTTAGAAAAGGCAGTCAATTTACAAATAGACTTTGTTCCAATAGTTTGCTTACAAATTAGCTACTTGGAACTCAAAATACATTTTTCCCAAATAAACTATTTATATGTGATGGTTAGGGTTTTCAACTAAACTGGCCCAAAGAAGATGAACAAAATATTAGACATTTTCTTTTCTTATTTTTCTCTCCTTCCTAACCGTCACCATGAGTTGATGATATCAGCTTTCAAGTGGGAATTAAACTGGAATTTTAAAAGAATATTCTACAAGTTTTAGTCCCCAGAAAGTAACCAATTGAATCTTCACCTTAAAAAGGTTTCACATTTTCTTAAAGCCCAGATATTTGTAATTTTAAAAAACTTATGACCTCAAAATGAATAACTTTTGATAGAAGGGGTATACAATCTTAATAAAAGTAGAGACTTACTTATTTGCATACATGGATTTCAAGCCAATTAGCCACGGGATCCAGTTAACTTTGTCTACGATAATCATTTCTCATTTATCTCAGCAACTAAAATAGGAATGTGTTACATTTACTTATGTGGCATTCTCAATTTAAACTTTGGAATATTTGCTGTTAAATTTCCTCATCAGTCCTTTCATACCTTTAGGCTAAATTGCTATGAATCACTTGATACCTAAAAGGGAACTCAGAATCTATGTATTCCAAATCCTGAGAAAAAATTTATATAAACTACCTCAACAAAGTGCTTTTGGAATATGAAGCAAAAGAATTCATCCACAGGTAGAGAAGTGATGGCCTGGGAGCAGGTATTAAAACATTATGAAGAGATAGTAGACTTTCAGAAGAAAAGATATTGCCCTCAAAATTTAAAAAAGCATGTTTACCCATTTTTTCATTATCTTAGAACTCAAAATTAATGTCTAATCAATCTTCTGTTGGCTATTATCATTTAGCATAGCAATTTTCAACTAACAAGCAAATAATATAAGGTACAAATTCAAATAGTATATTTAAGTCCATTCTGAGCCAGAAAAACGGAGCTGTGTAAAAACAAATATTTGTACTCAAGGGAAAAGGAAAGAGTTAATAATTAAATAAAGCTGTGCCAGAAAAACTCACTTTCAAAAAAATGGGTTTGTATCCTCCTGACAGACAGCAAGGACCATGGAATCTATCCAGTTTTCCTTTTTGCCCCTTTGCCAGAAAACTCCTAAGCCAAATTTAAATCCTTTATGGAATAACACTATAAATATTTTCTAGAAAGAGGTTGGAAATATATGAAGGAACATAGAAAGAAAATAACATTAATTAGGGCTTTTGCGATATGATGTAGATATTATTTTCCTTACTACATAGATGAGGGCACTAAGCATGGAGAAGTCAAATAACTGGCTTAAAATCATATAACTAGTAAGAATTCACCATTACCCTGTGAATCCCATATTTCTGAGACAGGACTCAGTCAATTTAGGAAGTTTATTTTGCCAAAGTTAAGGACACACCCTCAGGAGGTCCTGATGACATGTTCCCAAAGTGGTCGAGTACAGCTTGCTTTTATACATTTTATATTGATAATCATGACATACATTTTATATTAATAATCAATATGTGTAAGATGTACATCGGTTTGGTCCAGTAAGGTGGGACAAGTCGAAGTGGGGGCTTCCAGGTTAGAAGTAGATGAGAGACAAAAGGTTGGATTATTTTGAGTCCTTGATCAGCCTTCCACTGAATACACAATTTAGTCTGGCTCAGTGAATCTGCATTTTTACATAAACAATAGGGCAGAGGAAGCAATCAGAGATTCATTTGTCTCAGATGAGCCTCAGAGGAATGACTTTCAATAGAATGGGAGGCAGGTTTGCACTAAGCAGTTCCCAGCTTGACTTTTCCCTTTAGCTTAGTGATTTTGGGGGTCCCAAGATTTATTTCCCTTTTACAGTCCTCTTCATACTCTACACTTTCTCCTTCTATCTTATTCTTACAATTTTTACAATGACCTATGAAAATAATCATCCTAAGTATCTATTTCTAGCCTAAAAATCTCTCCTAAATTCCTATTACACACTGCCCATTGCACAATTACTCTTTGATATCCCACAAGTTACCTCAAACTCAACATACTCAAAACCAATATTCTTCTGTCTGTGTCAGATACACCAACTTTGTGCATAAACATTCATATACTATGGTGAAAATAGAAAAAAAAAGAAAGAAAAAGTAACTCTATTACAAAAGCATACTTTGAATACTATCGTAAGCTTTCAGCCAATGAGCAACAGCTCAACAAATTATACTACATACTCCTAGCCAGCATGTGTTAATAACACATCATATTCCAAATGCTCTAAGCCAAGAACATTTTCTGAAATATGTGGACTATTCTGTAGCCATTCTTTCTGCCACTGATGAACAGTTTCATCCTGATAGCTAAAAAGGGTGTGCATGTGATAGTGCTGGATGTTAAGATTTAAGACATTAGAGGCTCAAAGCCCCTTCAGGGATATGGTTGAGGAAACAAGGTAAAAGCTAGAAATTGGAGGGAAAAGTCTGTCTAACTTTATGAAGGGCTTCAGAAATAATACTGCAGACTGGGAGAACTGACAATTACAGGCATGCCTCATTTTATTGCGAATTGCCTTATTGGGCTTTGCAGATATTTCATTTTTTACAAATTCAAGATTTGTGGCAACGCTGCCATGGAATGAGTCTATCGGCACCATTTTTCCAACAGCATATGCTTACTTCACGTCTCTGTTTCACATTTTGGTAATTCTCACAATATTTCAAACATTTTCATTATCGTTATATCTGACATGGTGTTATGTGATCAGTGATCTTTGGTGTTACCATTTTAATTGTTTCAGGGCACCATGAAAAGCACCCATATAAGACAGCAAACTTAATAAATGTTGTATGTACTCCAACTGCTTCACCAACTGACTGTTCCTCCAACTCTCTCCCTCTTCTCAGACCTCCCATTCCTTGAGACACAACAATATTTAAATTAGGCCAATTAATAACCCTACAATGGACTCTTAGGTGTTCAGGTGAAAAAAACAATCACAGGTTTCTCACTTTAAATCAAAAGACAGAAATGACCAAGCTTCCTGAGGAGGGTGTATCATAAGCTGAGATAGCCCAAAAGCTAGGCCAACTGCACCAGTTAGCCAAGTCATGAATGCAAAGGAAAAGTCCTCGAAGGAAATTAAAAGCACTGCGCCAATGACACACAATGTTAAGAAAGCAAAACAGTCTTATCATTTATACAGAGAAAGTTTCAGTGGTCTGGATAAAAGATCAAACCAGCCACAACATTCCCTTAAACCAAAACCTAATCCAGATCCTAATACCTAACTCTCTTCAATCCTATAAAGGTTGAGAAAGGTGAGGAAGTTGCAGAAGAAAAGTCTGAAGCTAGCAGAGGTTGGTTCATGAAATTCAAGGAAAGATGCTGTTTCCATAACATAAAAGTGCAAGGTGAAGCAGCAAGTGCTGATATGGAGGCTTCAGCAAGTTATCCATAATATCTATCTAAGATAATGATGAAGGTGGCTACACTGAAAAACAGACTTTTCAATGCAGATGAAACATCCTTCTATTGGAAGATGCCGTCTAGGACTTCCATAGCTACAGAGGAGAAGCCAATGCCTGGTTTCAAAGCTTCAAAGGCAAGGGTGTCTTTTCAGGAGATAGTGCAGCTGATGACTAAATTGAAACCAATGTTCATTTGTCATTTTGAAAAATCATAAAGCCCTTAAATATTATGCTAAATCTATACTGCCTGTGCTCTATAAATGGAAGAATAAAGCCTGAATGATGGCGCATCTATTTACAGCATGGTTTGCTTAATATTTGAACCCACTGTTGAGACCTATTGCTCGGAAAAAAAGATTCCTTCCAAAATGTTACTGCCCATTGACAATGAATCTGGTCACCTAAGACCTCTGATGGATATGTGCAAGGACATGAATGTTGTTTTCATGCCTGCTAACACAACATCCATTCAAAAGCCCATGGGTCAAGGAGTAATTCTGACATTGAAGTCTTGTTATTTAAGTAATACATGTCATAATGCTGTAGCTGCTACAGACAATGATTCCTCTGATAGATCTGGGCAAAGCAAATTCAAAACCTTTTTGAAAGGATTCACCATTCTAGATGCCATTAAGAACATGTGTGATTCATGTGAAAAGATAAAAAATATTAACATTAAAAGGCATTTGGAAGAAGTTGATTCCAATCCTCACAGATGACTTTCAGGGTCTGACTTCAGTGGAGAAAATAACTGCAGATATGGCAGAAACAGCGAGAGAACTAGAATTAGAAGTGGAGCCTGAAGATGTGACTGAATTGCTGCAATCTCATGATCAAACTTGAACAAATGAGGAGTTTGGGCTTCTTAGGGATGATTCTTGATATGGAATCTACTCCTGGTGAAGATGCTGTGAACACTGTTGAAATGACAAGAGATTCAGAAATAACATATACAGTTAGTTGATAAAGCTGTGGCAAGGTTTGAGAATTGATTCCAATTTTGCGAGGAATTTTCCAGTAAGTAAATGTTATCAAACAGCATCACATGCTCCAGGGAAATCTTTCATGAAAGGAAGAGTCAATAAATGCAACGAACTTCATTGTTGTCTCATTTTAAGAAATCACCAAGGCCACCCCAACCTTCAGCAATCACCATCCTGATCAGTCAGGAGCCATCAACATCTGGGCAAGACCTTCTACTAGCACAAAGATTATAGTCACTTTCGAAGGCTCAGATGATTGTTAGCAATTTTTAGCAGTAAAGTATATTTTAATTAAGGTATGCACACTGTTTTTTAGTCATATTGATATTGTACACTTAATATACTACAGTATAGTGTAAACATAACTTTCATACACACTAAGAAATCAAAAAGTTTGTGTGACACACTTTATTGTGCTAGTCACTTTATTGTGCTATTTGTTGTATTATGATATTTGCTTTACTGTGGTGGTCAGAAACCAAACCAGCAATATGTCTGAGGTATGTCTGCATACGAGTAATAAGGGAAAGCACCATGGCCACAGGAGCATTCAGGACTTTGGAGACTTGAAAGAACGATGTCCCACTAAACCAAGCTAGCATTTGCATACAGACCTTTACTATAATTCTACTTCGGGGAAAGGAAGGGCAAATTCAACTAATACTCTGATTTCCATTAATGCCACTGCACTAAATAAGGTATGTCTTTACTTCCACCATGATTCAAAGGAGTTAAAAATACATGTAACTAAGTATGTCCAAAAACAATGTCAGCAATTACCTGAAAAGGCTATTATTAAAATGCTTATCCCTTTTCCAAATAGGTATCTATAGATGCCAGATAGTCTTCATTTATTTCAACCAAAACATACAACAGACTCAACACAGAAGCAGATGTGAGAATCTAGTTTTCTTCTCTTAAGCCAAGCATTTTTAAAAGATTTGCAAAAATGTAAAACAATGCTACTCATCTCACAAAATTTTTTTGTTTTGGAAAATATAGTTATGTTTCATAAAAATACATTGTGGTAACATGTAATAGGTTTATAATTTTTGATGAATAAATGAACATTTCAAAGTTTCCAAATTTTAATTCCTAATATGATAAATGTTAACAGATATAACTTTCATAAATAAGAGGTCTTGAGGGTCATCAATAACTTTTAAAATTATAAAAGTTACTAACACCAAAAAGTCTGAGAACCACTGTTACATGTGACCAATAAAAGATTGCTTATAATGAACAAATGAACTCAAAGGAATGCAATCATAATTTAAGTGTTCCCCAAACTACCCAAGCCATTAAGATTTTCTCATTTATTAGTACTAAAATATTTTTTAAATTTTCCACTGTTACTATTGTTCTAGCTCTCTCTTCACTTCTTATTTTGTTTTTCTACCTCTTTCTCTTGATTAGAAATGCTACATGTTTGTCTAAGTTGTATAAAGGCCCTTTTAAAGAATCACTATAAAGAAACTTGAATTTCACAATTTTTTGTGTGTTTTCCAATTTACTAATTTCTACTTTTCTATTATTTATTTTATTCAATTTTTCTTAATTATATTTTGTTTCTATTTCTTAGAGTTTAACACTGGGTTTATTTTCATTATTTCACTCTTCATATCCACAACAGTTTGTACTTTTCTACTATTTTTAAGAGGCCATGAAAAAATATATATAATTCATTTTTTAAACTATTTCTTCTAGGTCAATATTTATCAAGCATCCATTATTATGACCTTTTAAATAGAATAAAATATAACAACTAGTCAAGATGCTATTTCTATTCATTAGGTCCTCAAATATTTAAGCTAAACAGTTGGCTATCCTCTCAGTACTATGCCAGGTGCCTTGTCAAATGCAAAGCTGAACCCTCAAATGTTTGATGAGTACAAGAATATACATTCTTGTGAATCAATTAAAAACAGTTGATACTAGCAAATAATTATAGACTAAATTATATAAGCTATATAAAGCAGATGTGTGAGAATAAACTATCATCTCCTACCTCAACAACAGAAAATTCCAGAAGATCCATACAGAGAATGTGGGGCTATGAAGGCAAGAACTGTATTTGGTTTATGACAAGCAATGCTTAACTCAAGGTGAAATAGTTCTAAAAATACAATGTTCTCATTTTTGTTTTCTTGAAAGCAAAGTATATCAATGTTTGCTCAACATTTGCTAACATTTTCAATTAATCATTTAAATCCCTAATAAACACTAGGGAAAATCAATTAATAAAATAACAGACAAGTTTGAGACCCGTTCCCCAGATTGTTTCAAAACCTAAGTTATATTTTATATTTGTAATTTTTTATTTTTCTGATTAGTATTGACAACTATTTTTGAATTACACTAATAAAGAGGGGGAAATGGAAACCTTTTAAAAAATCAAATGGCCACCCAACAATCAACTTAATTAAATGAGTTATTATAGGTAAAAGAACTTAAATCAATTCCTGATACATAGTAAATGTTCACTGAGTGCTAGCTGGCTGGGCGTGGTGGCTCATGCCTATAATCCCAGCATTTTGGGAGGCTGAGGCCTCCTGAGGTCAGGGGTTTGAGACCAGCCTGTCCAACATAGTGAAATCCCATCTCTACTAAAAATACAAAAATTAGCTGGGCATGGTGGTACACACCTGTAGTCCCAGCTACTCAGGAGGCTGAGACACAAGAATTGCTTGAACCTGGGAGCCAGAGGTTGCAGTGAGCTGAGATCACACCACTGCACTGCAGCCTAGGCAACAGAGTTGAGACTCGTTCTCAAAAAAAAAAAAGTGTTAGCTATAGCTACACATTTATCAAGTCCTTTCCACTTGACCAAAGAATTCTTACACTTTCCAGAAACTAACTGTAAAAAGAGTATTTTCGTTGCCTGGCACGGTGGCTCATGCCTGTAATCCCAGCACTTTGGGAAGCCGAGGTGGGCGGATCACAAAGTCAGGAGTTCGAGACTAGCCTGGCCAACATGTAGAAACCCCATCTCTACTAAAAATTAGCCAGGCACAGTGGCGGGCAACTGTAATCCCAGAAGGCTGGGGCAGGAGACCTGCTTGAACCCGGGAGGCGGAGGTTGCAGTGAGCTGAGATCACACCACTGCACTCCAGCCTGGGTGACAGGGCAAGACTCTGTCTTGCGGGGGAAAAAATATTTTCAGCCTTGTGTAGTGGCTCACATCTATAATCCCAACACTTTGGAAGGCCGCAGCAGGAGGATCATTTAAGTCCAGGGGTTCAAGACCAGCCTGAGCAACACAGCAAGACCCTCATCTCTATTTAAAAAAAAAAAAAATGTTTTTAGTTAGCTGGGTGGCTGGGCGCAGTGGCTCATGCCTGTAATCCCAGGACTTTGGGAGGCAGAGGCGGGTGGATCACCTGAGGTCAGGAGTTTGAGACCAGCCTGGCCAACATGGCAAAACCTCGCCTCTACTAAAAAAAAAAAAAAAAAAAAAAAATTAGCCAGGCATGGTGGCACGTATCTGTAATCCCAGCTACTAGGGAGGCTGAGGCAGGAGAACGGCTTGAACCCAGGAGGCGGAGGCGGAGGTTGCAGTGAGCCGAGATTGTGTCACTGCACTCCAGCTTGGGCGACAGAGCAAGACTCCATCTCAAATTAAATAAATAAAATAAAAAATAAAAGTAAATTAGCTGGGCATAGTGGCCTGTAGTCCCAGCTACTTGGGAGGCTGAAGTGCAAGGATCGCTTGAGCCCAGGAAGTTGGAGATACAGTTAGCTGTGATCGCACCACTGCATTACACCCTGGGTGACAGAGTAAGACCCTATCTCAAAAAATACGTAAATATTTTGCTCTTTATTTAAAAGTAAAACTAAAGGCCGGGCGCGGTGGCTCACGCCTGTAATCCCAGCACTTTGGGAGGTCGAGGCCAAGGAAGGCAGATCACGAGGTCAGGAGATCGAGACCGTCCTGGCTAACACGGTGAAACCCTGTCTCTACTGAAAATACAAAAAATTAGCTGGGCGTGGTGGCAGGTGCCTGTAGTCCCAGCTACTCGGGAGCCTGAGGCAGGAGAATGGCGTGAACCTGGGAGGCAGAGCTTGCAGTGAGCCAAGATCACACCACTGCACTCCAGCCTGGGCTAGAGCACAGCTTTGCTGGTAATAATACATTCTTCCAAATTTGTACCAACATAATGGTATGTATTATTATAACAAAGTAAGAGAATATGCTACTTTGAAGGTACATAACTTTGCTTCTAAAAAGCATGGTCTACATAAAGACCATGATTTAAAAATAAAAGCTGCACTAAATATGATTTTCTCCTTTTACAGATAGCAAGACAAAATGACCTGTCCAGGTCATAGTTTAAGTGCAGGCCAGAAATCTGTCACCTAATCTCTGGGGATCTCTCTACCAACTGAATAGAATGTTACAGGTCTAGCCAAACCCCACAGCTTCAGAACCAGGAGATCTCATAGTGTTATTTATCTGTGGTTCTGGAGTATTCAAACCAACAGGTCTTATTAGAAAGCTTAGACCCACTTGACAATGAATGATTAGGTTTATGTTACTCTATGGCAAATCTAAAGGTCATACCAAATTCATTATCATCACCTACGAACATCTACTAGGGATTTGTTATAAGTAGTAAATCCGTCTAATGAAGTATGAAATATAAAGCCATACTATAAAGAAGTATAAGATTTTATCCCTGCCTTCAGGGATGTATTATATAGTTAGGAAAGAACACACCCATAAAACAACAGAACAAAGTTATGTCTGCTAAGTGTTAATATAAGTGGTAAATTCATTCCTGAGCAATTATTTATTGAGCAACTGAGAGGGAGCAGAGCATACTGGTTAAGGGCACAGACTCTGAAGCCAGTTTGCCTGCTTTTCCTTATTTAAATTATTAAACCTCTCTGTGCCTCTGTTTCCTTCCTTGTGAGAAATAAAAAGAATACCTACATAGGGGTAAAAACCTAGCTTTCAGAGCTGATGAGATTTACATTAGTTAATACAGGTAAAATGCTTAGAAATATACCAGACACATAGTACACTCTCAATAAACATTAGCCATTAGAAATATTACTTAATACAAGGAATACCCAGTAAGGACCAGATTTCAAAGGAGCCAGTAACAAGGATTACAACTGTTAAAGGATTCAAGAAATAGGTTGAATTGAGCTGGGCCATGAAAAATGTGCTGGCCTTGAAATATGAAAGAAGGATGACATTCCAGGCAGAGATCACAAAAAAAATAAAGGTATCAATACACACAGTGTATACATGGAACAATAAACACAACGTTTTGACAAAAAATAAAAACAGTCCATGTAAGGTAGTCCTTCTCACCCTTTTCTACCACAGTATTCTTAAATGATAAAGAATGAACTTCCTGGAAAATTGGGGAAATGGCCTCAAATGGTCCCCCATAAGCTCAACATGTCTTCAAATTGTATCACGTTTTAGCTTAAAAAGCTAAAACTTCATGAAAGTTCTATTTGACTCCATAATTCAAACAGCCTTATTTCATTGAAAAATGTCCTCAAATAGTTACCAGTTATTCAATTACTCAATCTTTTTCATATTCTTTAGGTAAAATTGACATTCCAGGAAGATGTCTATGGATTCATGTACCACCAACATAACAGCACACTGTAAGGAACAAGTATACTTCTGTTAAAAAAAAAAAAAAAATCACACACACACACACACACAAACAAAATCCATGCATACATGGAAATACGGCATAGGAAAGAGGTAGTATTACAAATCAATGTGGAAATAAATGACTACTAAATAAATACTTGAGACACTAAATAAATGCTTTCTAGATAAGGAGAGATGCTTCTAGATAAGGAGAGAAAAAAACTAGATCCCTATCTTTCACCCTATACACAAAAAGAAATCCCCTATGAACAAATGACTAAAGATCAAAGAGAAAACTTTAAACTTTTATCAAATTATAGGAGAATATAATTACGAGATCAGGGCAGAAATTTCCTAAAAGTAACTAAAAAAATTTAAACCATGTAAAGGAGATTGATAAATTTCATTTTATCAAAATTTAAGGCCAGGTGTGGTGGCTCACATCTGTAGTCCCAGCACTTTGTGGGGGCCAAGGCTGAAGAAGCACTTGAGGTCAGGAGTTTGAGATCAGCAAGACCCCATCATCTCTAAAAACAACAATTTTAAATTTAAAACTTTTCATAAGTGGGAGGGGAAACACAATACTATTAAAAGACTTGCCACAAACTAGAAAACAATTTTTTCATCATACATAAAAGATAATATTCATACTATATAAAGAGGTTCTACAAATCAATAAATGATGCTATAGAAAAATGAGTGGATTATATGAGCAGGCAAATTACACCACACAAATCCACTTGCTTCTTTTTTTGTTTTTAACAAACTTATTTCCTCACTTAAAACTTGATTTTATAAAACACAAAAAAAAATTTTTAAGAGTTCTGTATCACAGAACATCAAGCAGTACAAATATCCATCCCTTCACAGGTTCAAGTTACATAAATTAAAGTCAAATAATTGGAAACTGATTCGATAGGGAAAATTATGCATGAAATGAAGGTCAAAAGGAGCTACACAGCAATATTTCATTGTTTATAGATTATTAGTTACTTTCAGGACTTTAACAAAGATTCTGAATATTTAGACTTCCTTTGCTGTATTTTATAATTAAATATCTCCCTACCTATACTGAGTCAAGCTACTTGACCAAAACATCTGATTTAGGAAAGCACTTAGCTTTATAGCACAAGTTTTTCCATCTACAGTTACTATCTTCAAAGGAATATACATCACAATGTTGACAAAAAAAAAACCTCCTGGTTCCTTTTGAATAATGCACAATAAATTCATGATGTTAACTCCATGGTGAGTCAAATAGGTACCAAAAAAACAAAAGGAACAATTACACACAGTTCAGTAAGTATCATTTTGGTTTTCTCCATGTATAAATTAACCAATGAAATAAAACATATCAACTATAGATGACTTGATTTCAGGAAAACCACATTTCAAAATTACAATTACATTATTTCCTCATGTCATCTTCAGTCATTGACAGGAATTTTGTAGGCCACCATGCTATTTACTTTGTGGATTGTAGTAGTAAATGAACAAAGGCAGACTTCCTCAGAATTGGTAATAAACTGTGGTCCCGACTCTTCCCATTTTTCAGGTACAACCAAATCTTTGTCTGTGTAAATCAGCAGATCAAATGAACAAGAAACTTCCAACAGTGGCAGAAATGTCACTGTAGCTGTGATCTGTCTGATGACTGAACGGATTTCATCCTGAATAGCTTTCTGAGACTTTTCTCTGGGTGCACTGTCATCTTTTGCAGTCTTATCACACTCAATATCAAACTGTCATCTTTCCAGGACCTCACCACTTTCAATATTTGAGATAACTACAACCAGTTTCTGAACTGAACACTTGTATAACCAATCTTTTAGTTGTTCCACCACATTATTTAGGTATTTTATGAGCTCAAGATCAGTAGTTACAAGCAAGGTGAGTCCGTATTTCTGCACTCGAGTAAAGATTTCAGATGGATAAATGCCACGCTGATATAAAATGCTGTTGATGCCGAATGAGAAGAACTCGTCCACGATTTCGGCACTCCCACGCAGGGTGATTCCCTGCTCCCGGGAGAGCTGCAGCGCCATGGCCAGGGACACATGGCCAGGGACACAAACAAAGGCACGCGCTTTCACTACACGGACAGCAACCACAGCGGCTCCAACAGCACTTCCCCGCCAAGAGTTTCAAAAGTAAAGACCATCCACTTGCTTCTTAGAGTAAGTTCACTCTAGCAGGAAACAGCTTCTTTTTTTTTTCTTTTTTTCTTTTTTTTTCTTTGAGACGGAGTCTCACTTTGTTGCCAGGCTGGAGTGCAGTGGTGCGATCTCGGCTCACTGCAATCTCCACCTCCCGGGTTCAAGCGATTCCCCTGCCTCAGCCTCCTGAGTAGCTGGGATTACAGGCGTGCACCACCACACCCAGCTAATTTTTTGTATTTTAGTGGAGACGGGGTCTCACCATGTTGGTCAGGATGGTCTTGATCTCCTGACCTCATGATCCTCCTGCTCGGCCTCCCAAAATGGTGGGATTACAGGTGTGGGCCACCGCGCCCAGCCGGAAACAGCTTCTTAAGGATTCTACTTATTTTGTTTCCACGGGAAACTTTCAAGAGAAGAAGACAAACTATAGTCCCAATGCTGTAGTTGATTTCCTGGCCATAACAGATCATCATCCCTCTTTAGAGTCCCCTCATCCTCTGCTAGCACTTATGCTGGTGTAAGCAGCTTGCCAGTAGAGCGATCCAGATCCTTTTATCTAAGAGGTTTGAAACTCTGGTTACCATGCCCTTTTTAGGCAATGGCTACTGTATTTGTACATTTATTAAAATAATGGGCTTAGGAACACCATGAGACATATCAGCGGATCCCCTGAATGCCAGACATATTCTTCTCTGTCCATACCGTGATAATGATCAGAGTCAATTACCCTTACCAGGATGGTGACTCCTTTTCTTCCCTAGTGATTTTGGCAAGAGGAGCCCAAAGTGACCAGACAGCAGGCATGGCTTAAAATTTAATGGAACTCTCATTGTGTCTGTTCCCTAGTAGGGCATTTCTACTTCTGGAGACAAGAACCTCTAAGCCCACAGGGTCTAAAGCTATATGAATGGAAAGCATAAATTCCTCAAGTAAGGATTGGGTATGATAGTAAATGAGACCACTCCTATTCCATCCCTTGGTTGTTGAACCCGTGTACATATTACCTGTTGAGGATACTTAATATAATGAATATCCATATGATGGCCAAGCATTCTGGAGGGATGAAACCCATCCTTGTAGAGGATCACCTCCAATCTGGCATCTCAGTTGTACCTTTATGAGCCCATTACAACTGTTCTATCAATCCAGAGGATTATAGGTGGAGCAGTATGAGTTAAGACCAGTGGATTCATGAACTTTGGCCCACTGCTACACATCTTTCCTGTAAAGTGCGACTCTTGGTAAGAGACAATATTACTCAAGATCCCGTATTAGTGGATCAAACACTCTGTAAGTCCTCAGATAGTGGTGCTGGCTGTGGACTTATGGGCAGAAAAAGCAAACATGTGGACCCAGAATATGTGTTAATCCCAAACTAGAAGAAATGCTGTCCCTTCCAAGGTGAGGGAAGGTACAGTTTTAGAGGCTTCCACTTGATCTTCCCCCACTAGGAAAGCACTTAACCAAACTGGTCAAGGAGCCAAGTTGAGAATTCTGCCAACTACCATGTATGTTGATTCCAATTACAAAACTAGGAACCAGAGAAAGGACTCTGATAACAGAGACACACTGTGAGTTAAATCTGGGCCAGAACTCTATTTATTATAATTATCTGAGTCTCATACACCCCTCCCCATTCTAACAAGAGTAGGTCATAGCACTTTAGGTCCCCAGATTTCAATGTCATTTCACTCTGACCAATAATTCTTCATAGGTTTGCAGCCAAAACTGAATCACTGAAGATGACTAGCAGAGCAAGCATCAAGTAGTAACTGGGCTGAATAGTGACTCAGAATCTTAAAAGAATCAAAACAAACCCACTATCACCAAGTTAGACCCAGCACAGATTTCAAAGTCTGCCTGGCATTCCTTCAGTTGTTGCCAATAGAAATGAATTCTCAGACTGCTCTGGTTTGCTCCAGAACCCAGCCTATTAAATTCAGCCAACTAAGCATAACCATCTAGCTATTTGTATGGCTATTATACTTGTTATGGTCTACTTTGTTCTCATCCTAATCTTTCCACTAGAAGATGCTTCTATAGATAGCATCTATAGAAGATAGATACTCCTAATGCTATGTTTTATATTCAGTTAGATACTTTGATGGCACAAGAGCAGACTCTATGGTAAACAAAGATGTAAACATGAAAGGTATCAGTGTAGAGATAACCTTTTCCCAATATTTATTATAATCTTTTCCCAATATGTATTATGGAATGAGAATGGGGGGACTAAGCAAAAAGAGGACCTCAACAGGCTAGCCATACAAGCAATTAAAAAAACATCCAATATGAAGGTAAAGAAAACAATTGTAAATTTAAAAGTATGCAGAAAATACATGAGATTAAATCAAATACCTTTATTTGGACTGCTTATGCTACATCAAAATTTTAAAATAGACTGAAAAACAAAAATTTTGGGGGGGGAGAGGTGGGGTACAAGTAAAGACGAGGTCTTGCTGTGTTGTCCAAGCTGGTCTCAGATTCCTGGCCTTAAGCGATCCTCCCAACTCAGCCTCCCAAAATGCTGAGATTACAGGCATGAGCCACTGCACCCATCCAAAAACAAAATCTTATATGTAGTAGAGTGTCAATAATGGGATTATACAAAGAGAAACACATACCTTACCTAGAGAGCTAGTTTCCTAAAGCTATTTAAGCATATTTCCCCTTCTCCCAACTACTCAAATTAACTTCCTAAAACACTATTCAAAGGCTGGGCATGGTGGCTCACGCCTGTAATCCCAGGACTTTAGGAGGCTGAGGCAGGTGGATTGCTTGAGCCCAGGAGTTCCATACCAACCTGGGCAACATGGCGAAACCTTGTCTCTACTAAAAATACAAAAAAATTAGCCGGGAGTGGTGGTGTGCACCTGTAATCCCAGCTACTCAGGAGGCTGGGGTAGGAGAAACACCTGAGCCCGGGAAGTCAAGGCTGCATCAGGCAATGATCATGCCACTGCACTCCAGCCTAGGCAAAGAGAGTGAGACTCTGTCTCAAAAAAACAAAAACCAAAACAAACAAACAACAACAAAAAAAACCACAACACTATACAAGTCCATTTAAATTTAAATGTTGTACACCTTTTTCCTGCCATGATCACAATCACTGTATTCTCATGTCCTCCCCATCACCCTCTGGAACCACTTATAGTGAATATGATCCAAAGTATTCTCAATACGTAATACATACTCATATTGCAGACACTTCAATCAGTGATACTAGTTCTGGAATCCCACCATCTTTATCCTCAGTTATGGCCTCCCCTAAAAGTATCTGCTCCTCCCCCCCCAGGACAGTTTTCAGCATCTGGCTTATATGGTCTGGTCTCCCTGTTCACCACTATACCTATCATCATTTTTGGCAACTTGAACATCCTCATAAATAAGCCAGGCATTATCCTAGACATTTAATTCCTTGGACTGCCTCACTCCAATGATCTCTTGCCCCATCCCACTTAAGTCACTCACCCTCATACCTTCAGCCTGCAATCTTGTCATTATCAATATATATATATCTCTCTGCTGGGTTGTCTGTTTCTAGCATCTCACTCTCTGAACACCTTTCCCTCTCCTTTCAGATGACTTGCATTAAATACCACTACTCTATCCTTTGACCTCACAAGGAGCTCCCATCCACTGACACTACTACTTTTCCCTATTTATCACCCCTCTCAAGGTCCTAACCTCATCCTTACACAAGCATACATTACAGCATCTAGAATTAAAACCAATCCTTTGCAAATGCATTTAACTCACTTGCTCCTCTCCACTGTTGTTCCACCTGATCCATCTATGGTTGAAGCCATCTATCTACCAGTCCATGACTGTATCTGAGCAGCTAAATTTTGCTGAAGAAAAACATCTCATAACCTTACTGAAGTTCACACTAAAATTATTCACACTAAAATTAACACCACAGATCTCAGATGAAGACTCAACACTGCCAGACATTCCTTCTACAATTTTTAATTAAAGTCATTTTCCCATTCCCTGAATGAACCATTTCATACTTTCTTCTCTCTCCTCAGACTTCTCACATTTCCCATTCTCACCTCAATCATAGCTAGTGACCTAGCCTCATACTATAGAGACAAAAATAATCTCATTTCTAAACACCAATGCCATCAATCTACCTGTTTCTATAACCATATTAACTGCATTCCTTCAGGTTAAAATGAAAAAAATATCTCTGTTGTTATCTACAAGTCAATACCTCCCCTCCAGTTATGCTCTATATCCCACTTCCTAATCCCTACTCAAGTATTTTACTTTTATAATTATCTCCCCCTTCTCCTGCATTATGAGTTTCTTCCTCTTCTGAATCATTCTTATTGGAATGCAAGCATACCTTAATATCAACAACCATTTTTTTAAATTGACTCTACATTCCTTTGCAGCTACTACCCAATTTCCCCATTCCCATTCACAGCAAAATTCCTGAAACAAGAGTTGTCTATACTGCTATGTCCCATTCTCTTTAACTCATTCTGATTAGTCTTTTATTCCTGACTTTCCACTGAAACAATTCTCATGAATTTTACCAATATCCTCAATCTTGCCAAAGCCAATAGTTAATTAACAGAGAAGAATTTTCTGTCCTCATCCAATACCACCTCTTAGCAGCATTAACTGACCACTTCCTCCATCTGGGAACACTTTATTCTCTAGACTTCTGTGACCTCACACTTAACTAGTTTTCCTATTACCTGTCTCTCTTTCTCTGTTTCTTTTTCTGGCTGCTTCTCCTCTGTAAACCACCTAAAAGTTGAAGTGTTCCAGAGTTATGTCGTGGGCATTCTTCTCCCCCTACAAATGATCATATCCAGTCTAAACAGCTGTAAATGTGCCTCCCAAATCTGATTACGGCCCTGATCTCATCCCTCAGCTCAACCAACCACCTAATCAATGACTCCTAATCAATGACAAAACATGACAAGTTTTGACTCCTAAACAATGACAAAACATAACAAGTCCAAAGCAGAATACTTGATTATTTCATACTGCTCTATCTGCTCCTCCCCCAGTTATTCCTATTTCACTAAATGTCACACAATCCACATAGTTGCTAATGCCAAAAACCTAGGAGGCTTCCTTGATTTTTCCACTTCCTAATTACCCACATCTAATTAATACCAAGACTGATGACTCTACATCTAAAATACAATCTAAAATACATCTGCTTTTGGCCATTTGCACTGTTATATGCCACTATCACTTATTACTTGAAGTACTGCTAAGATTTCCCAACTGTTCTCCTTACTTCGACTACTTATCCCCAACACTTACCCACCTTCTTCCTCCAAATGTAGTCTCTACAGAACAGCCAAAATCGTATCTTTAAAATGAAAATTAGCTCATTTCTCACCCTTGTTCATGACCCAATGGTGTCTCATATTAAATAGCATAAAATACAAATGACTTACCACACCATTGAAGATACTACATGACCTGACCCCTACCTAACTCTTCAGCTTCATTCCTATCATTCTACCCCTCTCTTCTTTCTTTCCTTCCAACATGCCAAGGTTATTCAAGCCTTAGGGCAACTGCATTTGTCTTCTCAGCCATACATTCTGTTCTTCCCAATCTTCCCATGGCTGCCTCCTCTCATCACTCAAGTATCAAATCAAATGTCACCTCTTTAGAAAGACTCTTACTGGAAAAATTATCCCTACTCCTAAGTCTTCCTCCACTTGTGCCACAAAACAGCCAAAATTCTTGTTAGAAATTGATCTGTCTTTTAAAAGATCTTATCCATCAGACAATATCTCCTCCTTAAAGAGGACTTTTTTACCATCCAATCTAAAATTGATGACCCTGTTATTTTCTCTCATAGCTAATTATGCCAGATTGTCTCTTGGCAACTTAAAACCATTTTCATCATTCTGTGCTCTTCCCAGGGACTAGAAATCTGGAAACTACATTCATTTTCCAAAATCCCTAAGACCAAAGCTCCAGTTTTGCTTCTACCTCTTGAGAACATCTTGAGAAACATCTGAAAAGCTTTGGAAGGCAAAAAGACAACAGAAGCATTACTGTTCCTTCAACAGCAAAGGACAGCACATGGGCATCAGCATATGACACATTAGGTTTCACTCACAGCTTTCAGGTACTCTTCTGTGAACCACCTGCTTCAAACATAAGAGACAAGTGGAATCAGCAGCAGCAGTTTTTCAACAATTCCTGTTCTTTCTGACTTTCTGAATGGGGCAGTTTCTCTTACATTACTGTCTAGCCCTTCCTAACAGGTTTGTAAGCCTGTAATTGCCTGAAGTAAATTCTTCATGGCTTGAAATATCTAGGGTGGTTTTTGCTTTCCTGACCAAACCCCAATTGATATATATCCTGCTTTTTATGGCCCACTTATCAAAATCAAGAATCTTATATTTCTTAATTTTTGTGTTTAATATCTGTCTCCCCAAATATATTATTCCATGAACACAGTGATCACATTTGTTATGCTCATTATTGGTATCTCAAGCCCTGTGTTTTGGTGCAAATAGTGGTTGAATGAATGTAACACCTTAGTAAAATACTTCCACTCACTACATCAAACATAACAACTCCAACTCTCAAAGTTTCTCTACAGTCTATCACAATTTCAACTTATTAAAATAAAAAACAGGCCAGGCGTGGTGGCTCACGCCTGTAATCCCAACACTTTGGGAGGCAAAGGCGGGCAGGTCACGAGGTTAGGAGATCGAGACCATCCTGGCCAACATGGTGAAACCCCCATCTCTACTAAAAATACAAAAATTAGCTGGATGTGGTGGCGTGTGCCTGTAATCCCAGCTACTCAGGAGGCTGAGGTAGGAGAATCGCTTGAACCAGGGAGTCAGAGGTTGCAGTCAGTGAGCCGAGATCACGCCACTGCACTCCAACCCGGCGACAGAGAGAGACTCTGTCTCAAATAAATAAATAAATAAATAAATAAATAAATAAATGTTTTAAAAAATTAAAAAAAAAAAACAGCAGCTCTTGGACTTTGCCTTCCTTACTTCATTTGCTTATTCAGACACCTCAAAGCCTTGGGATTACTCTTCATTTCTACCTAGCACTCTGGAACTCTTCCTCTTTCACTACAACACAATCAAGAAATCTCAGACTAGCTTTTTACTTTTAGACGTATAAGATTATATACTTTGTGATTAACAAGAAATGAGGTTATCCTGTGATGAAACCACTAATGCAACCTGAGTTTCTAATCTAAATATCTGATTTTGATTTTTTTTTGGAAAGCCAAGAATTGGCTTTTTTTTTTTTTTGAAATGGGGAGTTTCACTCTTGTCCAGGCTGGTGTGCAATGGCACAAATCTTGGCTCACTGTAACCTCCGCCTCCTGGTTCAAGCAATTCTCCTGTGTCAGCCTCCAGAGTAGCTGATTACAGTAGTAGAGTACAGGCACCTGCCACCACACCGGGCTAATTTATGTATTTTTAGTAGAGACAGGGTTTTACCATGTTGGTCAGGCTGGTCTCAAACTCCTGACCTCAGGTGATCCACCTGCCTCCGCCTCCCAAAGTGCTGGGATTACAGGCATAAGCCACCGCACCCGGCCAATTCATCATCTTTTAATTTATTTATGTCAATTTCTTTAGAGATGTGGGGGTCTCACTCCGTTGCCCAGTCTGGAGGCAGTGGTGCAATCAGAGCACAATGCAGCCTTGAGCTCCTAGCCTCAAGCAATGCTCCTGCCTCAGCCTCCTGAGTATGGTTTTGATCTTAATTTTAAATTCCCTAGTGATTACCCTGTAATAAAACTCATAATCAAAAATAATCTTAGAGCCCTTAAAAATGCGCTCTTTAATTCATCTAAACAAGTGTTCAACAAGGGAAAATGAAACCTTCCAGTACAACTGAAAGCAAGCATAAAATTGCTCTCCATTATTGTTTAGTTTTACAGAAAACTCCTATTATTCAGAGAACTAAAATACCTTCAAAGAAAATTTACCCATCATAGAAAATGGACACTTTTTCACCGAATTCAAAGCAATTCAATAAATATTCATTAGGTGCCCATCATGTAGCAGGCACTGTTTGAGGCATTAGGAATACTTCAATAAGCAAAACAATGATCCCTGCCCTCATAGAGCCTATATACTAACATGGACAGATAAATTACGTAGTGTTAGAAGAGAAGAGCTAGGGAAAGAAGAAAATGTAGGGCAGGGTGAAAAGTGCTCAGGATAGTAGAGAGAGTGAGGTAGGCAAGGATTGTAATAAGATCAGAGAAGCTGGAGAATGATCATGTAAGACAGAAGGGACGCTATAAGGACTTTGGCTTCTACTCTGCATGAAATGAGGAGCCACTACAGAGTTTAGAATACAGAAGTGGCAGAACATAAATTACTTATTTTAAGGCTCATTCTTGGCCACTGTGTGTGAAAGCAGACTATAGGGACAAAGGCAAAAGCAGGCAAACTAATGTATGAGCCACTACCATAAATTCGTGAAAAAGAAGTAACAGAAGGGAGAGTAAAAAGTGGACAAATTCTCACCTTATACAGGCATTAACAGAAGAGGAAACAGAAACTACCAAAAAGCATGAAAAGGGGAAACAATCAGGGAAATGCATTTTAAAACCACAGTAAAATGCCACTTCACATCTGAATTTTTTTTTTAATTTTAAAGTCTGACAATACCAAATGCTGGCAAAGATGTAAAAAACAAAACAAACAAACAAAAAAACCCTCCATACTGCTGATAGGAGTGTAAACTGTACAACCTCTTTAAAGAACAAAACGGCATTTCCTAGTAAAGTTAAAAATGGACATGCCTTATTACCTAATAGTTTTATTCTACGTATATATACTAGAGAAACCATAACTCATATACACCAGTGGACATATACAAGAATGTTACAGCAGTATAATTTCCTATAGCAAAAAAGAAATTTGGAAACAATACCTATGTCCATTAACAGCAGAATGGATAAATAAAATGCAGTACAGTCCTACAATGGAATACTATATAACAGTGGAAATGAACAAATTACAACTATGTGCATTAACATTGTGAATATCAAAAATATAACTCATAAACACAATGCTGAATGAACAAAGTAAGTTGAAAAGAACAAATATACAAATTAAGAACCCTTGTGCCTTTTGGTAGAAATATAAAATAACGCAACCATTTTGGAAAGCAGTATGAAGATTCCTAAAAAAATTGAAAATAAAACTACCATATGATCCCACAATCCCACTGCTGGGTTAATATTTCAAAACATATTTGAGCAGAACAGAATATTTGAAAAGAATATGTGAAAGGAACAGAATATATGAAAATAACAAATATATAAATTAAGAACTCTTGTGCATTTTGGTGGGAATATAAAATGGTGCAATCATTATGGAAAACAGTGTAAAGATTCCTAAAAAAAACTTTAAAATAAAACTACCATATGATCCAGCACCTCTGGGTAAATATTCCAAAGAATTCAAAGCAGGATCTCAAAGAGATATTTGCATACCCATGTTCATTGGAGCATTAACACAACAGTCAAGAGGCAGAAGCAACCCAAATATCCACTGATGGATGAATAGATAAGGATACTATATATATATAATGAAATATTATGCACCTTTTAAAAAAGGAAATCCTGTCACATGCTAAAACATGGATGAACCTCAAGAATATTATGCAAAGTGAATAAGGCAGTCACAAAAAGACAAATACTACATAATTCCACTTGTATGAAGTATCCAGTCAAAATCACAGAAACAGAAAGTTAAAAAGTGATTGTCAAAGGCAAAGGGCAGAAAAGAAGGGAAAATTAGTTTAATGGGTATAGAATTTCAGTTTTACAAGATGAAAAAGTTCTAGAGATTCATTGCACAACAATGTAAATATACTTACTACTGAACTATACACTTAAAAATAAAGGTAAAGATGGTGGCCAGGAATGGTGCCTCACTCCTATAACCCCAGTGCTTTGGGAGGCCAAGGAAGGAGGATTGCTTGACCTCAGGAGTTCAAGACTAGCCTGGGCAACATATCAAGACTCTGTCTCTACAAAAAAAACATTTTAAAAACACATTTTAAAAACTAGCCATGTATGTGCCTGCAGTCCTAGCTACTCAGAAGGCTGAGACGGGAGGATCATTTGACCCCAGGAATTCAAGGTTGCAGTGAGCCTTGATGGTGCCACTGCACTCCAGTCGGGCAACGGAGTAAGGCCCTGTCTCTAAAAAAAACAAATTTTTTTTTTAATTTTTAAAGCAGTTAAAATGGTAAATTTCATGTTGTGTGTTTTTTACCACAGTAAAATAATTCTTAGCCAGGTGCAGTGGCTCACACCTATAATCGCAACACTTAGGGAGGTCAAAGCAGAAGGCTCACTTGAGCCCAGGAGTTCAAGATCAGCCTGTGCAACAAAGTTAGACCGCCATATCTGAAAAAAAATAAAATAAAATAAAAAAATTGGCCAGGCCTGATGGCATATGCCTGTGGTCCCAGCTACATGGGAGGCTGAGGCAGGAAGATCACTTGAGCCCAGGAGAACAAAGTTGCAGTGAGTTATGTTGTCCCACTGCACTCTACCCTGGGTAACAGCAAGATCCTGTTTCAAATTTTTTAAAATATATCTTAAAAAAGAACACAAATATATAATGTATACACTTATATAGAATCCACAACTAAATAGTATACTGTTTAGAGATCCAACAATATCTGGCCAATCTATGAAGAAAAGAAAAAGAATGACAAAATTCAAAGAAGTAGTCATTTCTATGGGAGGAGGAGAAAATATAATAGAAAAAAGATAGAGGGTTCAAACTTACCAGTAATACCCTATTTCTCAACCCAGGGGGTTAGTGCACAAGCATTTGATTTGTTTTCATTATTCATTAAACTATACATATTATATATACACTTTTTGTATGCAAAAAAATAACTTAAAAATGTAAACTCAACATTATAATCTTAGGAGTAGGGTAACTTTTTGAAAATGCACATAGCGTTGCCATCATCCACATTCTGATATAAAGGAGAAAAACAAAAAGGGTTTATACAAAGTGTATTATGGCATGGTGATTCAGAAGCAAAGGTTTGTCATCAATGAGGCCTAGCTGAATCTAGGCTGAGCCATTTACTAGTTTGTTTCCTTAGGCAAGTTACTTAGAATCTCTAAGCCTCAATTCCCTCATCCATAAAAAGTGGATATTTACAATACCTACCAATTAGAGTTATTATAAAGATTAAATGAGATAACGAATAAAGAGCATTCAGCATTATGCCTAGGACACAGTAAACATTTCTGTATAAGTAGTAGTAATTTTTAAAACCCTCCCAGGTTATTCTCATCTCCCTCTTCTCCACCTCCATTTGAAAGATTTTGATATTACCTGAAAGAAAGGTTAGAAAAATCCTGTTCAGAGATATAACTCCTAAAACCTTTGTAATTTGTCCTTGTGTTTCTGTAGAACATATCATTTAAAACCAAAACAAAACTTTTAAGAAGTCAACCAAGACCTTTAAAAGTCAACCAGGGAGAAAGTTATTAAACATGTAACTCTTCAAAATTGCAAATACTATTGAAGACAACCACCTATTTATGAGCAGACACATTCCGGAGCTCTTAATAAATGAGTAATACAATAATATTATACACTCAACCTCAAGCAGGAATGAAGTTAGCCATAATTCAAAAAACTAAACTGGGCCAGGCGCGGTGGCTCACGCCTATAAACCCAGCACTTTGGGAGGTCGAAGCAGGTGGATCACCTGAGGTCAGGAGTTCGAAACCATCCTGGCCAATGTGGCGAAACACTGACTGTACTAAAAATACAAAAAATAAGGCCAGTCATGGTGGCTCACGCCTGTAATCCCAGCACTTTGGGAGGCCGAGGCAGGCAGATCATAAGTTCAGGAGATCGAGACCAATCTGACCAACATGGTGAAACCCCGTCTCTACTAAAACACAAAAAAAATTAGCTGGGTGTGGTGGCGTGTGCCTATAGTCCCAGCTACTTGGGAGGCTGAGGCAAGGGAATCACTTGAACCAGGGAGCGGAGGTTGCAGTGAGCTGAGATTGTGCCACTACTCTCCAGCCTGGCGACAGAGTGAGACTCCATCTCAAAACAAACAAAAAAAATAGCCAAGTGTGGTGGCATGCGCCTGTAATCCCAGCTACTCAGGAGGCTGAGGCAGAAGAATCACTTGAACCTAGCAGGCAGAGGTTGCGATGAGCCAAGATCACACCATTGCACTCTTGCCTGGGCAACAGAGCAAGTCTCCGTCTCAAAATAAATAAATAAATAAAATTTAAATTTAAATTAAAAAAAAAACTGAACTGTTCTTGCCTCCAAGATCAATTAGAAAACCCGGAAGGGTCTCACAGATATAATTACCACTTGGATTTTATTTACTTTCTTCAGCCATCCTCTATGTATCTTAAGTCCCTTAAAATAGGCCCCAAAACTGGCCTCAATTCTCCCCACAAGTGTAGAGTATCCAAAAAAGATCCCAGATGGACAAACTGTAGTAAAAAGAAATACTGAGCCAGACTAAGGCAGTAAGCTGGCCAGACAAAGCAAGGTATGTTAGACTACAGGTTTGCAGAGTAACCTGAATGTTCCAGGAACTCACAAAACCATAAGTCACAAATCTACAAAGCACAAGGGTTTCTTGTACATATTACCATTGAAATGCTCCTCCACTTTGCCTTCCAGAATGTAGTTTAGGTTTATATTGCATTTCCAATCCAAAAGTGTATTGTTAACACCTCAAGAAGCATATGGAAACCATTTCCCTGAGCTGTTCCTATATTAAAAATGTTTACTATAAGAGAAACAGATCTCTGAATCCAAACCTTAACAACTTATTAAAGCAGAAACTCTCAAACTTGATTTACTTACAAACAATAGTTTTTATTATTGAATTGTTTCCTTATATTTTCTCCATATTATCTGAAACCATTTCCTATTTCTAAAAGAATATTTATTCTTGCATTTGTATTACTGTTTCAAGTTTTCAACTATAATGTATTTGAAGTTCTAACAAACACCTACCCAATTCATCTTGTTGTTCAAAATAATTAAATTATATTAATAAGCCTCCCCAAAATGAAATCTAGTCATACAATGAATAGTATTAGATATTCATTAATTGTCCCATATCTAAAAGTTTCTCAAAAAGATTTTTGTTTTTTTTGAGACGGAGTCTTGCTCTGTCGCCAGGCTGGAGTGCAGTGGCGCGATCAGCTCACTGCAACCTCTGCCTCCCGGGTTCAAGCAATTCTCGTGCCTCAGCCTCCCGAGTAGCTGGGATTACAGGCATGCGCCACCACACCCAGCTAATTTTTGTATTTTTAATAGAAATGGAGTTTCACCATGTTGGCCAGGATGGTCTCGATCTCCTGACGTCATGATCCACCGGCCTTGGCCTCCCAAAGTGCTGGGATTACAGGCCTGAGCCACCACGCCAGGCCACAAAAAGATTTTTAAAACAAGACGAATACCCAAAAAAGGAGTAAGGGGGAGTAATTTGTATTTCTTTTTTTTCTTTTTTTTTTTTTGACAGAGTCTCGCTCTGTCACCCAGGCTGGAGTGCAGTGGCTTTATCTCAACTCATTATAACCTCCGCCTCCCGGGTTCAAGCAATTCTCTGTCTACGCCTCCCAAGTAGCTGGGATTATGGGCGCCCACCACCAAGCCTGGCTAATTTTTGTATTTTTAGTAGAGACAGGGTTTCACCACCTTGGCCAAGCCGGTCTCAAACTCCTGACCTTGTGATCTACCCGCCTAGGCCTCCAAAGTGCTGAGATTACAGGTGTAAGCCACTGCACCCAGTGGAGTTTGTTATTTAACAGATGCAATCCTTTTACATTATCTAAATCATCTTCTTAAAAATCACTTAAAAGAGAAATTAGAAAGTTAAAATTTTCATTTTAAAAGAATTAATCATTTTTAAGTTATACATTTAATTTTATAAGTCAAGATTTTATATATTTCTAAGATTATAGGTTTTAAATTTATAGAGGCAGATTTTGAGGATTCTACACTTTAATAAAGAATATATCCAACCTCTGCTAGAGTCACAACCATATGACAAATAAAAGCTCAAAATTTTTAACACAGTACTGTATGTCTTAGATTGCCTAGAGGTATAAGATTTTTATATTCAGTCTAACCATAAATAGAAGCCATCATCAATAATCTAGTCTGGGTAGGCCTCTGTTTTCCAATGATTATTTTAATCTTATGAAAGCTCTATTGTTTTTTAATTTTCCAAACATGTTTTGTGTGTGTTATACAGCTTTCTTGTCACTAGCTTCTCCAGCACTAGACATAGCATCAGACTGTTTAGTTATATTCCAAACTTTGTTTTTAATTTTTTAAATTATACTTTAAGTTCTGGGATACATGTGCAGAACGTGCAGGTTTGTTACATAAGTATACACATGCCATGGTGGTTTGCTGCACCCATCAACCTGTCATCTACATCAGGTATTTCTCCTAATGCTATCCCTCAACTAGCCCCCAACCCACCGACAGGCCCCAGTGTGTGATGTTTCCCTCCCTGTGTCCATGTGTTCTCATTATTCAACTCCCACTTATGAGTGAGACGTTTGTTTGAGATGGAGTCTCTGTTGCCCAAGCTGGAGTGCAGTGGCACGATCTTGGCTCACTTGCCCAAGCTGGAGTGCAGTGGCACGATCTTGGCTCACTGCAACCTCCGCCTCCCAGGTTCAAGTGATTCTCATGTCTCAGCCTCCCAAGTAGCTGGAATTACAGGCATGCGCCGCAAGCCCAGCTAATTTTTGTATTTTTAGTAGAAACGGGGGTTTCACCATGTTGGCCGGGCTGGTCTCGAACTCCTGACCTCAGGTGATCCACCCGCCTCAGCCTCCCAAAGTGCTGGGATTACAAGCATGAGCAACCGCGCCTGGCCTATATTCCAAACTCTGGTCACAACCTTCTGAACTGGGAGCTCTCAGTCCCTCATTATACACACTGCCCCTTTGATCTCATCCAGATCTCCAATCCTTTATATTTCCTTTTTCTCCTAATTACAGCTTACTCCTACTTACACTTCCTTTTATAATCAGGCCAGACTCCAAAGACCTACCATTTCAGCTACTACCATTTGCTAATTTATTTATTTGCCTATTTATTTACGTATACACATTCCTTGCCTTGTTCCAGAAGAGATTTCACTGAATCTTGAAAATTACATTCTTCACTTGGGCATCAAAATCCAGAATGTGAGAATTATCTTAGACCGCTTCTTCTTACCCTCACAGCCACAGAATCACCAAATCCTCTCAATTTACCATCTAAATCTGTCTCAAATCTTCCCTACTTTCTTCAATTCAACTCTAATGCTTTAATGTCTTCTTCATACTTAAGGTAAAACAAGGGACCAAAAGTATGGGTTCCAACCCAAATAGCCCATTAACTTCTGGCTGTTTGTGATAAGCTTTAAGACAATTAGCTTCACTATCTGATAGACAAAAACAGTCACTGGTATAGCAGACACAAAATCATAAACAAGAGAAAAGAAAGAATGTACTGAAGAAAAATGGCATTGATCTTCCAGAAAAAGAGGGCTACACCAGGATTATGTATTTTAAGTACATAAGTATATAACCCCTTTTATTTTTGAGCTTCAACATTATTGCAGAAAATAACATGTACACATAAACTTTTCACTTTACATATATAAGTAGTTTAACAGATATATCATACCACTAACAAATATTACATAACACTCTAAAAAGAGAACAATTAAGTCAGGCTTAACCGCATTAAAAAGTGATCATTAAAAGACAGTACTGTGTATAGCTAGCAAAATCAACTATTTTCCATGCTAGGCAATGACTCAAGAATTACAAACTGTCACCAATACCTGCATTAAACATAAACCCAGACAGTAAGCAATTGTCATGGAAAGATAAATCCATGTGACTATATCTCTGAAGCTTAAGCAAAACTAGTTTACATGAAGCAAAACAGTTTATTAAATAACCATATCTAAAGCAGCCCTTTGTTTTGACAATAAGTAATTTAATCATTTTTCCATCACTGTGGATCTAAAAGGTATGTTAAAATGTTATACTCCGCCAGGTGGATTAATATGGATTTATTAAATTATGCTTAGACTAACACTGCTTCCTGGTCATTGTAGTTCCAAATTAAAGATAATGATAGGTTTAGAGAAATAATTGTGCTCAATTATTACTCACCAAAAATTCTGAGTTTTCACTGCTTGATGACTTACACTAGAGTAGGAAGGCAGACGATACACACAGCACATTCATAAACTGGGATTTAACCGAGTGAAAATTGAACTGAAAGAACATTAAGGTCTCTAACCTTACTAAATTACAATGGAGTCCAATACATAAAATGCTTTAGTCAGGGAAAATTAGACAAGTCACTTAATCACTCTGTACCCTATTTTATTCATCTATAAAATAAAAATATGGACTAGATATTCTCTGAGATCTCTTCCAGCATAAAGAGCATATGATTCAAAGGAATTATTATATGTACCTATGCTGGAAAATAATAAACCACTCCACTTTAATTATTCATTTAAAATGATATAGGTTGTAGCTGCTGCATTTATTAAAAAGTCCTAACCAGCAATGCAGCAATGGCCATTTCATCTATAAATTAATTAAAGATAAATGATAAAGATAAGTGTGATCATTTTGAATCTCAGTAAGAAATTTCCATTAGCACCAATGAAAATTGTGTAAATTAACTCCCTACGCATGACTTTTTTCTTAACTTCCCTAATTTAGTTTAACTGGAGAAAAAGCCAGGTATGAATCTGCAGTGTTTCAATGCTGAAACAGCTTTAAAAGAAAAATATATTCTTTTATCTATTAAAATTAAGAAGTTGTACTAGATGATTTATAAGGTTCCTTTTGGCTTTAAAGTCCATACATGATAATAAGCTATCTCTGTACAACAACTGATAAACCAAACTGCAAACTGAGCTACAAGAAATTATGTTTTCTTTATTTTGTTTATATAAATTTACCACTGAGCTCAGTAAAAATTTCCGGCCAAGTGGTAGTCACAATTTAGTTTTTGGTTTAGCATATAGAAAAATTACTGACAAAATACCATAATGTAAGGGAAGGAAAAAAAAAGAATATCATAATCATTTTACCACACAATGTCTTTTTTTTTTTTTTTTTTTTGAGACAGAGTCTCGCTCTGTTGCCCAGAATGGAGTGCAGAGGTGTGATCTCTGCTCACTGCAGCCTCCGCCTCCCAAGTTCAAGCGATTCTCCTGCCTCAGCCTCCCGGGTAGCTGGAATTACAGGCATCCACCACCATGCCTGGCTAATTTTTGTATTTTTAGTAGAGATGACATTTAGTAGAGATGTCATTTAGTAGAGATGACATTAGTGGGCCAGGCTGGTCTCGAACTCCTAACCTCAGGTGATCCTCCCACCTCCACCTCCTAAATTGCTGGGATTACAGGTGTGAGCCACTGTGCCTGGCCACAGTGTCTTTACATACTTCCCATCATTCACTCTCCTGATAATCTATTTGAAACCACCTATAATCCATCATAAGATATTACAGAAAAGAATTCCCTAAAAATTTTTTCATGAAGCTGAGTCTTGCCCAGAAAGCAATAAATACATCAAATAATTCTTTAGGGTTTTTTCCTCCTGAGATTTTGGGATGAGATTTCTAAACAAAGAGAGATGATTATGGTGTCCCAAACTTCAAGTCACTGACTCAAATCAAAGCAGCAATTTGCTGTGTTAAAAGAGCAGATGATTGATGTAATAGGAAAAGAAGGAAGAAACTTGAAGAAAAATAGAATCAGTAAAACATGGGAAAAAGAAAAAATGAATATCTGATTTTTTAATGTTGCAATGTATAAAGCACTAGAATTAGAACGTACCAGTTCACAGATCTAGATAGTTTGATCCCACTTACAGCCGGGACATTAATTTATATATGCTAAAAACTGTCAAACCACACAAAATAGGTTAAATAACTAAATAACACATTTAAACAAAACCATTATTTACAAAACAAGATATAAGAAAGGGAAAGCAGCTCATAACACATTTAATTAGTGTTACACTTGATAAGGAAAGAAACCTAATTACTAGGGCAAAAGATAAGATCATTCTGTAACTATGAATATGTTTGGCACATAGTCTTACCCAAATATTTGTTGAATAAAAGCAGCAGTGAAGACTGTAAAAGGAAAACATAACCCTAAAAAGAAACATGCAATAAAGGAAATATAACCTAAACAAAGAGAGCTGCTTTGCAACTTTTTGAAAATATCTAAATTTAATAAGCATCAACATAAATTTTTCAGTGCTGTCATAGTTTAAGCTACTACCTTAGTGCTAAGGATTGAAAAATAAACAATTTGAAAACCTGAAAATTAGATAATCCCAAACTTTAAAAGTCACTTTCTTCTCCTCAATTATTAAGGGCTCTCAGGTAAATTATAGTTTTCACTTAGAGAACACTGTTCAAAGAGTTCCTACTTGAAGGTTACCCTGAAATGTTTGTCTTAGTTAAAACTCAAATGTATTGTGGTATTGTGATTTAAGGGCCAAGTGAATATCAAATGATTGGTGACCCCAGATGACTATCTGAACTTGACTATTCCTAGAATCTGGTATGTGGATAACCTTCTACAACAGGGAACCCTTCCAACCCTAACTTAACTCAGTCTGTGGGCAAAAAAAAGTACCACAAGCCAGTACACGTTGCTTCACACTCTAAATTAAATAAATAGATCATGACACACAATCCATGCCCAAAAACAAAGAAGTAAACACATTACATATTAATACATTTTCCAAAGGAGTTATTCATAAGCGTCTAGCAAGAAAAAAAGTACAATGGCCAAAAGAGTTGAGAAAAATTCATTTTCTTGCACCCAAAATGTGCAAAATCTTTGGTTTTCTTTGTGATATTTTGGAGACTTTGCTAAAGCTGCTGTTGAATGAGAACACCTAGGCTACCATCATGAAAATCAATAATGCACCTGGTAAGAACACAAAAGACTGACTCACCTGTGTGGAATCCATTAGCCTTTGAATAAGCCCAAGTCTGGTACCAGAGGGCACAATGTACTTTCTACCAGACAAGAGGAGAACGATTTTTCCTTGTCCTGCTTTCCAGCTGCCCAAAGAATAGATCTCATAGTAATTGTAATATGACTCTTTTACAGAAATAAGAGGTGGATAAAGTGCTTACAAACAATAGCTATTTCATACAATTGTATTTCTAAATTTTCTTTCAGACTTTTATTGCTCAGAAAGTTAAATAATGTTAAATGAAAACTTTAACCTGTGTGTTTGCTTAAAGCACAAACATTAAGAAAAAAAATGCTTTATGTCTGTATTCTTACAATCATATTGGAGACTTGCTGCTAAACACAAATATGAAAGGCAGTGAGGTGTTAATTGTAACCCCAGTGAGTTAAAACTAATAGAGCCTTTATGAAATCCTGCATGTTACGCAAGTGTGGTGGGGGAAAGGCACTTTTGTACACTGTTGCAGGGAATTAACCAGTGCACTTTAAAAAAAAATTAGAAAGAGCTATCAAAATTTCATATTTCTAAATTTCCATCAACAGAAGCAATATCCATATAAAGAAATATTACCTGCTAAAAAGGAGGTAAAGCATATGCTGATACTCAAAATCTACCACTAACTGAAAAAAAAAGGTAAAGGTATAGTATGATTCCATTTCTGCAAATTTCAAATAATATGACCATATCATTTCATTAATGCATAAGTTTATATTGTCCACTTGGAATAGATATATTTAATTGTACCAAAACTGTTTGCAACTTTAATCTTTCACATTTCAGTTTCTCTCACTTCATATTCTCCCTACCCAAGCTGGCTTGAATTTTCTACTACTTAAATAAATTCTAATCAGAAGACCTACTTCCATATTATACTATGCTCTCTGGGCAGAACAGAACTTTAAATAAGTAAAAACTGTTCTTATAATTTAAAAAAATTTCTTTTAAATAATAGAATGATTATAAATATTTGACCTAAGGCTAGATATGATTTTATTAACAAATCATCCACTAGAGAAATATTATGCATAAAGCAGTTTTACTTATAAGTCTAATTTCTTTAACTTAGGCCTAACTAACACTTACAAAGCAAAGATTAAGTACAGTATACCTGCAATAAATAGTATGGCATGTAGAAAGTTACTTTTTAAACAACAACAGGAAAAGTCTCCTTTTGAGAAGGTTATTGGTATACCTTCTATTCAAAGCATCAACAATTTCCAACATTCATCAAACTGGCCAACTAAAGAATGCATCTCATGTTAATGATGGCTACTCATCAACTCCATGCTGTTGAGAATATGGAGCCAAAATGTTACCAGATCTAGCAGTTTTTCAACAAAACTGAGAGATCCAAATTTTTACATGATGTCTCCTCATTTTTACATGTTGGCAACTAATTCATTTTTTGTTTTGTTTTAATTTAAATGCTGTGCAAGCCAACACTCCAGGGCCAAACAAAATTAATTTCACCCTCAGGTTTCAAGTTTCAATCTCTAGGAAAGGTGCTGGAAGCTGAGGAGAGAGAGAAGAAAGAAAAGTAAAATAGGCAGAGACCAGACCAGAAAAATCTTTACATGATAAGCTAAGGAATTTGGATTTTTAGCATATATTACAGTAGCATTTTTCAGGCTTATATTTCTTTAATAACAGAACTCTTTCTTCATACTAAATGTTACCCAGAAACCTAATATGTAAACAGATAAATGGAGACTGCTCTAGTTTAAGGGATGACAATGAGCAGCTGCCTCAAACAATCTCTCAGAGTTTCAGTTTGAAATCTCTCAGGCAACACAGTTTGAAAATACTGAACTACAGGATGATGTGGGGTCTGTGTGTCAGGGATTACATAAAGCCAGAGGAAAACGTGGTGCGTCTTCCTAAAACATCAATTTTATGCAAAGGTTAGGGGTATGAGATAAAAAATTAGGAAGGCATATACTTTTTGTTTTAATACTAACAGAAAATATTAAAAAATTAAAATCTTACATGCATTTTTAAGGTCAACCAAAACTTCAAAGGGGCTTTCAAAGCGACACTTCTAGTTGCACCTCCAGACAAACTAGGGGTACAAATTTGTTTTCCTCCATTGTTAATGTTACTTTTTAAAATGTGAGAAGCATTGGTGGAAGACACAAGAAACCACCAAAGAAGTTTAAGCAGGAAGTATCATGGTTAAAAGGGGAAGACTATTTTTTGTTTTGTTTTCTGAATTTGGGGGTTTTTTTTTGGAGGGTTGGGAGGAGTGGGCGGTAGTAAGCAGTATCCATGTTAATTAAGCTTGAAGCAGTCCTCGGCCAGGAGACAGTTGAAATAGTCCAAGTGGACCAGGCAACGTGGCTCACACCTGTAATCCCAGCACTTTGGGAGGCTGAGGTGGGAGGATCACTTGAGCCCAGGAGTTCGAGACCAACCTGGGCAACACAGTAAGACTCTGTCTCTACAAAAAGATAAATTAGCCAGGTGTAGTGGCACACACTTGTAGTTCCTGCTACTGAGGAGGCTGACATGAGAGGATTGCTTGAGCCCTGAAGTCAAGGCTGCAAGAAGCCATGATCTTGCCACTGCACTCTCACCTGGGCAACAAAGCAAAACCCTACCTCAAAAAGAAAAAAAAAAAAAAGTCCAAGTAGAGATAAGGAAGACATAGACTACAAGGGGAATAGGATAAAATCTGTAATTTGGAAGTTATTAAGGAGACAGTTATGGGCACAACTTCGTAGGGCTTAGAAATAAGCCTAGTACATATAGTATGACCTCAGATTTCTTATTTGAATATCTGGTATATTTGTTGGTCCCACTGCCCTCTACCATCTAAATTATGCTCCTTAGATGGTTCCAACAACACTCATCATAACAATTATTGTAGTGTATTGTAACATTTTGTTTGTCTATCTTCCATACTTAGCAATGAGACCTCAGGGCAAAAATTACCTCTGATTCAACTTTGCATCATCAACTCCTTGTACACAGGAAGTCATAAAATAAAAATTACAAAATAAGTAAAGCATCAGAATCAATACACTGCCAAGAGCAGAAAAAAACCTAAAAGCACGGAAATGCATGAACAGTTTTCTCCTATTTCCTATTCTACATATGTTCTAGTTAAGGACAGAAAGGGAATCTCTGTGACTCATCAGTATTTCTCAGACAAATGCCACAGGGGTAAAAATTTGGAAAGTATTAACTGAAACTAAATTATAGTTTGTCTCCTATATTCTGATGTAAACTAGGAGTAACATGAATGATATTCTAGGAAATCTTGCCCTAAAGCCCTAAGCTCATAGCTGCTGTTTGGTTCAAATGCTTAGGAACAGTCTATTAAAAATATCTTTGAAACAAAATATAACTTTATCAAACAAGACATTTCAGTGTCTCAATTGATGACCAGAAAATGTCAAACATTCTAGCCTGTGTGTGGGTGTGTGTGGACAATAAAAAAAAATGCACTAAAATACTGCAAAATCTGGAACTGCATTTAGATAAAATTTTCATAGTGGCTTGATACAGTCTATATATTAATATAACTTGGAATTATCACCAAAAACTGAGGAAAGAGGTAAATAAGAGTAAGAAACTGTCAGATCAGTATGTATTTCCATCTCAAACACCAATCCCTCCAGATTCCACAAAATAAATTACTCCATACACCGTTAGTTTTAAACAGGAAATTTTTAGCTTCTTAGTACTCTGTGTTATGTTTCTGAACAACTTCTGCAGTACCAGAAAGTTGCATATGATTTCTTCAAACTAACAAGTCAAATAGCCTGTTCTCTCTCAGTGAAATGTGAGAGCCAGTCACTTGGGAACTCACAGCTGATGACATCTTAAAATCAAGTTCTAGTCCAGGTCAAATACACTAATGGTTTAACCAAGCCAAAAACTAAATTCAAGAGAAACTGTAGGCTACTACTTAAACTGGAAGTGAATATCCTGTTGTCATTTACCTCCAAATACAAGACAGCATGATTGATTTTGCCCAAAAAAACGCAAGGGCATTTATACATTTTAAAAAGAAACTATATGGCATCAAAATAGACATGGCTCTATTTTGTAAAACACATTTCTGTATTAATAATTAAATCCCCAAAAGACCACAGCTTTAGGCCACAGGTATATAGCCAGAAAGAGCACATGAATGACACCTTTGTGAGTCAAATGGTATCTTCCCAGTAACACTAAAACTTTATACTTGCTTTATTTTCATTTTAATTGATTTCCAGTTGGCAGAAGTTCCTACCACTTACATCAAGATTTTTCCATCCTCCAGCTTAACTGTTAAATGGTAAGCAATCCATAAGACACTGTGAAGTATAAAAATATACTATTTTTTAAAATTCTTCCATGATCACTCTTGAATATTCAGCCTCCTTAGTAATGGGAAAAGCACTTCTTAGCTCATACTCTATAAAAGTTCAGAATTTCATGTACAATAACGCATGTTCCAAGAGTAACAAAACATTATCTGACAGTAACTTTTCCAGACAAGTGTAGCATACTCCAAAATGCAGAAGTTCTATTCTAAACTTTTTTCAATATAACTCTGTCTTTAATGCATATGTTCAACAAATGTGTATGGTTGTGTACTATCACTGAAACTTTCCTTAATGACATAGACAGCTCGTTATGAACAGAGGTTCCCACATTGTGCTATATGTAAGTTAACAAAACTCAATCTTTCTTATCCCATAGTCCATTAAATAGGCTATCAAATAATCTAAGCATCATAATGAAAGAAATAAAAAGTCTACATTTCCCAAAAAAAGACAAGTATTTACGTTTCAGAAGCATTACACAATGGCATCACATCATGTGCATACTTACACAAATTCACTTATATATGTTCAGCAAAAAGAGACAGAGATACATTTTTAGAAAGCGGTCCCATTTCCCCAGCCTCTCCTCTCAGTGACTATCTCTATACCCCAGAGTAATCATAAAATGAGAGATGTCACTCTGCTGTTCCCTCTGTTGCACTCAGTTTCAATGCCTCTCCTAGGACAAGCATCTTATTGGACTATATATGACAGTGTTTAAAGGTAAGTCTTTTCAGTATAATGCCAAAACAAGAGCCAATTACTTCATCTGCTGTTCAGGTGAGGAATACTGATTTATTACTATGCTGGAAGGAAAACTGGCTGCGCTAGGTTTAATGAAAAATTATTTACCCATATGGACAATTTCTGATCCTTAATATTAAGGGTAATCTTCACTATATTTTCTGCTTTACATGACTTTAGAATACAAATTCCAGGCTGTGTGCAGTGACTAGCCTACAATCCCAACACTTTGGGAGGACGAGGCAGGAGGATGGCTTGAGCCTAAGAGTTCAAGACCAGTATGGACAACAAAGCCTGACCCTGTCTCTACAAAAAATAAAAAATTAGGCCAGGCACAGTGGCTCACGCCTGTAATACCAGCACTTTGGGAGGCCAGGGCGGGTGGATCATGAGGTCAGGAGATCAAGAACATCCTGGCCAACATGGTGAAACCCCGTCTCCACTAAAAATACAAAAAGTAGCCAGGTGTGGTGGCACGTGCCTGCAGTCCCAGCTATTCTGGAGGCTGAGGCAGAAGAATCACTTGAACCTGGGAGGCAGAGGTTGCAGTGAGCTGAGATCACTTCACTGCATTCCAGCCTGGGCAACTAAAAAAAAAAAAATTAGGTAGGCATGGTGGCACACACCTATAGTCCTAGCTACTTGGGAGGTTGAGGCAGAAGGGTTCCTGAGCCCAGAGGTTTGAAGTTACAGTGAGCCGTGATCATGCCACTGCACTCTAGCCCAGGCAACAGAGTGAGATTTTGTCTCTGGAAAAAAAAAATACGTATATACAAATTCCACATAAGATTCAACTCCACTGTATTTCTTACTTACAGAAACAAATCTATTAACAAGGTGAAAGTATTTTTATAAAGAATTAGTTTCTCAAATTGCTACTTCATGCGTTATAGAATGTAATCCAGACCTTAGTCAATGACAGGAAGCTTACAGGATTCTCACTAAAAACACTAAATTATTATCACATCTTACATGATATTAAAATGTTTACCTTTACAATACTACTAGATTCCCCCTTGATTACTTCTGAATAAAAGTAGTTCATATGCCTCTGAACAAAAGCCACTTCTCTAATGACAATGGCTTGTTGAACATGCGCCCTTAGAAATTTCTCCCTATTGCCAGGCGCGGTGGCTCACGCCTATAATCCCAGCACTTTGGGAGGCCGAGGCGGGCAGATCACAAGGTCAGGAGATCGAGACCATCGTGGCTAACACGGTGAAACCCCGTCTCTACTAAAAATAAAAAAAAAATCAACCAGGTGTGGTGGCACACGCCTGTAGTCCCAGCTACTCAGGAGAGCGAGACAGCAGAATCGCTTGAACCTGGGAGGCGGAGGTTGCAGTGAGCCAAGATCGTGCCACTGCACTCCAACTCCAGCTTGGGCGACAGAGCGAGACTCGGTCTCAAAAAAAAAAAAAAAAAAGAAGAAATTTCTCCCTATTATTAAAAAAAAAATAAAATCCCTAATATGTGTACAGCTTTTGGCAATGTGCCTTTTGTTTTAATAAAGATGAAGGGATTCTATTAGTTATCTGTTGCTGCATAACAAAACACCACCAAGCTTGACAGCTTAAAACAATAAACAATTTATTATCTCACAAAATTTCTCAGTGTCAGGAATCCAGGAGCAGCTTATTTGTCAAGATATCAGCTGGGGCTGCAGTCATCTGAAGACAGGACTGGGACTGAAGACTAAGATGGCTCACTGACTTGGCGGTTAGTAGAAGGTCTCAGTTCTTAACCACACGGAACTTCATAAGGCTGCTGACGACACATAAACTGTCTTTCATGACAGCAAGTTGCCCAAGAACATAGAGAGTAACCACATGGAAAGCCACAAAGTCTTTGTTAAAGACCTAGCCTTGGAAATGAGAAACTTCTACCATATTCGATTGGTTATACAAGCAACCCTGATACAATCAGGGAGAAACTAAGCAAGGACATAAAAAGTAGGAGACAAAAATCACTGGGAGCCCTCTTGGATTCAAGGTATTCCAGTGATAAATATACATATGTGGTTGGTGTGGTTTTACATATGGCCACAAATTCTTTATACTTCTTTCATCAAAAGGGGAAGCCCAATTCCCCTTCCTCTGAATGTGAGCTGTATTTAGGACTCTGAACAAACAGAATGCAGCAGAAACGATGGTGTCTGAATGATGTTCATAGAAGACATCGTGGCTTCTGTTTGTCTCTCTCTTGAATCATCCACCTGAGGAGAAGAAAGCTACTATGTTGTGCGAACACTGAAGAAATCCTTAGGAGAGGCCCATGTGACAAAGAACTGACACCTCTAGCCAAAAAATAACAGTAAAGAACTGAGGACTCCTGACAAAAACCACATGAGTGAGCTTAATACAGTCAGCCCTCCATATACATGGGGTTTTGCATACTGTGAATACTGTATTTTCAATTCTTATTTGTTTTGTTTTTTGAAATCCACATATAAGTGGACACACACTTCAAACTCATGTTGTTTAATGGTCAACTGTTTATCCTCCAACTCCAGTCAAGCCTTCAAATGAATAGAGCCCCAGCTGAAACTTGATTGCAATCTCATGAGACACCCTGAGCCAAAACTACCCAGCTCAGCCATGCCCAAATTCCTGATGCACAAGAACCGTGAGAAAATAAATGTTTGTTATTTTAAGCCATTTAGTTTTAGGATAATTTGTTAGACAGCAATAAATAACTAGTGCAAGCCAGGTGCGGTGGCTCACGCCTGTAATCCCAGCACTCTGGGAGGCCAAGGTGGGTGGGTCACCTGAGGTCAGGAGTTCAAGACTAGCCTGGCCAACATGGCAAAACCCTGTCTCTACTAAAAATACAAAAATTAGTCGGGCATGGTGGTGCGTACCTGTAATCCCAGCTACTCGGGAAGCTGAGGCAGGAGAACTGCTCCAACCCAGGAGGCAGAGGTTGCAGTGAGCCAAGATCACACCACTGCACTCTAGCCTGGGCAACAGAGTGAGACTCCATCTCAAAAAATAATAATAATAAGTAGTACAATGGTAGAGTAATATGAAATTTCTTACAAAATTAGTTACTGAGTCAAAACTTAAAACAGCATTCTCCAAAGTGTTTTTTGTTTGTTTGCTTTGAGACAGAGCCTCACTCTGTCACCCAGGCTGGAATATAGTGGCACACTCATAGCTCACTGCAGCCTTGACCCCCTGGGCTCAAGCAATCCTCCTACCCCAGCCTCCAGAGCAGCTGAGACTACACAGCACACACACATACAAATAAGAAGATAAAAATTAAAAGAACTCCTCTGTGAAAGTATTATGTATAATTTTTTTCTTTTGTCAAAACATTTTTTAATATTATCTTGTGGCATTTTTTCAATAAAACATAATAGACATGCTTAAAATAAATCTATTTTAAAATACATTTTTTAAAAAATGCAAATATTAAAAACTATATTCCTAATCCCAAAGAATATAGAAATAGATCCTTAACTGGTCCTCACTTATGCTCCAATAGATCTCAAAAATACAGCATCTGGCATGTCATACTTCATAAATCCCATCACTTTTGAAAGCTTTTTTGTCCCATATCTTCTATTCCAAATCCATTCTAGATCAGTAGCAAGAAATAAGATCAAATAAAACAACATATTTTGGTAACATTATCTGAAACAGTACCAAAATATGATGATTTTTTTAGAAACATGTCAGTTAACACCAGGAAGTAAACACAGTAGAACTATTTATAAAGAAATTATATCTAATATTGGTAAATTTCAAGATATTTATATTTTAATGAGCTGAATTGTTTATAAGTAAACCAGTTAGTGCTAGATGCAGTTTGCTTCAGTTACCTGAAATTAGAACAGCAAGTTCATTAAATATATATAAATCAGTGGTGCAGAGGCACTGCACCATATTGATGGAGGCTTCATTGATTTTCAATGATATAACCACTATCATATTTGTGTTCTAAAAAAACTGAGTGAGGTATACAATCACTTGTCCTCATCTCAAAATTCTTTTTTTTTTTACATATTCCAACTTAGTAAATGAAAAGAAAACCTAACACTCCAAACATTTCTGATAAAGTCTGTTAAATTTTAAATTTTCTTATCTTTTTGTAGAGAATATATATATTTGTTTGTACATGTAAATAATCTATATTTCTTTAAAAATAAATATGAAAAATAAAAATACTATAAAATAAGTTATCCTACAAATCATTTCACTGCATCAACAATACAATTCATTTAGGCTTCCTAGTTGACATCTGATTATACCTCAAAAACCAAATACTATGTCATTGCTTATATATCATCAATAAAAAATAAAGATGTGGCAAATACAATATCAGGAAAAATATCATTATTGAATATTCAAAGATGCTTTTTATCGTAAGCTAGCACCCTAGAAAATAAAATATAAAGAGAAAATTGTTCTAAGTAGATCAAAATGATTTTTAATATTGTAGTTTTTTCATCTTATGCATGAGTTTGAGTTACAACCCAGTTGCATTACAGTAAAAAAAAATGTATTTAGTCAACAGGTAATCAAAATGTAATTGAAAATTAATTTTGAAATTTAATTTCTGAATGGGATTTACACACAAAAAAAGAGACTGGAGCTGTCCAGGTGGGCTATGCAACCATATATCCTTTCTTAGGCTTCAGTTTCCCCATTTGATTAAAAAAAAAAAAGAAGGTGGAGGGAGACATAAAATACAACTAGAAAGATGTTTGCTGAGCTCCTTCCAAATTTAAATTAACTAAGTATGTCAACTTCCTATCAATCCTTTTAATAAAACAAATAGCATTTTGTAAGCTGTACTTTTGCACAAACTTTCATACTAAGCCTGAGAGCCAAATCAGACAACACATTCCACTTTCCTAAAGGGGCTAATATTTAGATAATTTCTCTTCAGTGGCTGCTTTAGACAAAACCATTTCCATATTTGGAACCACGTACAACATTTGTATATTTGGTATCACCCAGACATTTTTGTTCCCCTGATGCTAACTTTGCAAAACCTGTACCCAACCAACCAAAATGATTTGCTTCCCCAAAGGACCTTTTCCTAAATCAGCAGAACAGCTAAAATCAGGCTGCAAGATTTCAGATTTATGTTTCTTTAGCAAATAGTAATTTTTTTAAAAAATAGCTTATTTAACAATAAAGCCCACTTTCACATCTTAACTACAAAGAATATTTCTATAACTATAAACTTTCCTTTTCCTCCTTGTTTCAAAAAAAAAAAAAAAAAAAAAAAGGCTGGGCGCAGTGGCTCACGCCTGTAATCCCAGCACTTTGGGAGGCCGAGGCAAGCGGATCACGAGGTCAGGAGATCGAGACGATCCTGGCTAACATGGTGAAACCCTATCTCTACTAATAAAATACAAAAAAGATTGGCCGGGCGTGGTGGCAGATGCCTGTAGTCCCAGCTACTCGGGAGGCTGAGGCAGGAGAATGCCGTGAACCCAGGAGGCGAAGCTTGCAGTGAGCCGAGATCGCGCCACTGCACTCCAGCCTGGGCGACAGAACGAGATTCCGTCTCAAAAAAAAAAAAAGAAAGAAAGAAAAACGAATTTATTTTTAATGACTCAAAAGAAGAACTAAGACACTATAAAAGTAATGGGGGCAGAAACCATGTCTGCCACATTCACTGTTGTTTCCCCAGAACTGTGTTTTCAACCCTCTTAGACCACAAAATTTACCTAGATAGTATAAAATACTGGTCCCCACCTCGAAAGACTATGGTAGGGCCCAGAAATCTGTACTTTAAAGAAGCACCCCAGATGATTCTTAGGATGAGGTAAGTTTTGGAATCACTGGCCTGGAAAATGTATTGAGTGTCTGAGAAAGACTGCAAATACGTTTATTAGTAAACACCAACAACTAGTAAATTACTGTTGTCTTATTTTTTTCTTGGAAAATAGGCTTAACACATTTGAAACCTGAAGAAAATCATTAAAATCTCATTTAATTTTCACTCAATTATTCTCATTCTATTTGCTGTCTCAGGAACAAGTTGCTAAGTAAACTGAAAATAAATTGCCAAAAGATTCCTGAAACTTAAGCTGAAAAACTATATATTTTTTGCACATAGACTACTGAAAATAACTCTTTATAGAGTAAATTTACTTGAATTCATAGATTTACTTGAATTCTTAAATTTACTCGAACTGTGCCTCATCTAATCTTCATAGTAACTGTAAGGTATCACTACTAGTGAACCCATTGTACAGATGAGAAAAAGTTTTAATAAGAATCAGTAATTTTCCCTAAATCTCATAGCTAATAATAAGTAGCGAACCTAGGATTCCAACCCAGGCAATCATACTGTCAGTATATATTTGTTAGACATAATATTTTTATGCCCACAGCAGAAAAAAAGCAATGAGAAAAAATTAATTCCATTTCTATTTGTATTTGTATCCCTAAAGGAAACTAATGAACTACTACTTTAGATCCTTACAGAATAAAATAACTTGCATTTTAACAAATAAGTTTGAATGTCCAATAGATAGCTTCACCTGTTTGACTCTTGGAATACAAGTTTGAGAACATAACTTCCATGGAAAGAGAATGTTCACAAAGCCAAAGATGCTATGAAACTTTCTGATACCTGCAGGTACAAATCTGGATAGATTTCCTCCAAAATTCAAAACTATATATAGTCATGCACTACACAAGGACATTTTGGTCAAAGACAGACCACATATACAATGATGTCTGTTCCTTAAGATTATAATACAGCTGAAAAATTCCTATCACCTAATGACTTCGTAGCCATCCTAACATCTTAGCATAACACATTACTCACCTGTTTGTGGTGATACTGGGGTAAACAAACCTACTGTACCACCAGTCGTATGAAAATATAGCATATGCAATTATGCACAGTGCATAATAGTTAATAATGATAATAAATGACTACGATACTGGTTTATGCATTTACGATACTGTGACTTCTTAATTGTTATTTTATAGTGTACTCCTTCTACTAATAAAAAAAAAAGTTCATTGTGAAACAGCCTCAGCAGATCATTCCGGAAGTATTCTAGAAGAAGGCATTGTTATCACAGAAGATGACAACTTCATGCATGTTATTGCTCTCGAAGACTCTCCAATGAGAAAAAACGTGGAGAGGGGAGACAGTGATATTGATGATCCTGACCCTGTGTAGGTCTAGGCTAATGTATGTGCTAATGTGTAGGTTTGTATCTTCATTTTTAATGAAAAAGCTTAAAAAGTAAAAACAAAAATAGGGCCACGTGTAGTGGCTCACGCCTGCAATCCCAGCACTTTGGGAGGCCAAGGCGAGAGGATCACTTGAGCCCAGGAGTTCAAGACCAGCCTGGGCAACATAATGATACCTCATCCCTACTAAAAATCAAAAAACTAACTGGGCACAGTGGCGCCAACCTGGAGTCGCAGCTATTCAGAAGGCTACAGCTGAAGGATTGCTTAAGCCAGGGATGTCAAGACTGCAGTGAGCCGTGATCATGCCCCTGCACTCCAGCCTGGGTGACAGAGCAAGACCCTGTCTCAAAAAAAAGGAAAACCTAAATTTAAAATATTTTCTTCTTTTTTTTTTTTTCTGAGACAGAGTCTCGCTCTGTTGTCCAGGCTGGAGTGCAGTAGCGCAATTTTAGCTCACTGCAACCTCTGCCTCCCAGGTTCAAGGGATTCTCCTGCCTCAGCCTCCCAAGTAGCTTGGGACTACAGGTGGGTGCCACCACACTCGGCTAATTTTTGGTATTTTCAGTAGAGACGGTGTTTCACTGTGTTAGCCAGGATGGTCTCGATCTCCTGACCTCATGATCCGCCGACCTCGGCCTCCCATAGTGCTAGGATTACAGGTGTGAGCCACCATGCCTGGCCTTAAAATGTTTTCAATAGAAAAAAAGCTTAAGTCTTATAGAATAAGGACATAAATAAAATACTTTTGTACACCTGCATAATTTGTGTTTTAAGCTAGGTATTACAAAACAGTCAAACAGTTCAAAAGAAAATAAAAATTTATAAAGTAAAATTGTTACCATAAGCTGGGGTTTATTATTGAAGAAAGAAAATTTTTTTATAAATTTAGTGTAGCCTAAGTGTACAGGGCTTATAATGTCTACAGTAGTGTATAGTAATATCCTAGGCCTTAACATTCACTCACTACTTACTGACTCACCCAGAACAACTTCCAGTCCCACAAACTCCTTTCAGGGTAACTGCCCTATATAGGCGTATCATTTTTTATCCTTTTTTACTGTAACTTTTCTGTGTTTATATATAATTAGATACACAAAAACTTACCATTGTGTTACAGCTGCCTATGGCATTCCGTACAGTAACACACTATACAGACCTGTAGCCTAGGAGCAATAAGCTACACCTTATAGCTTAGGTATATAATAGACTATACCAGGTACTACACCATAAGCACACTGTATGATGTTCACACAGTAAAACTGCCTAACATGAGTTTCTCAGAATGGATACCCATCATTAAGACATAATTTTGGGCAGGGCGCATTGGCTCACGCCTGTAATCCTAGCACTTTGGGAGGCCAGGGCGGGCAGATCACAAGGTCAGGAGATCAAGACCATCCTGGCTAACATGGTGAAACCCCATCTCTACTAAAAATACAAAAAATTAGCCGGGCGTGGTGGCGGGCACCTGTAGTCCAGCTACTCAGGAGGCTGAGGCAGAAGAATGGCGTGAACCTGGGAGGCAGAGCTTGCAGTGAGCCGAGATCGCACCACTGTACTCCAGACTGGGCGACAGAGCGAGACTCTGTCTCAAAAAAAAAAAAAAAGACATAATTTTGTGTGTGTGTGTGTGTGTGTGTGTGTGTGTGTGTGTGTGTGTGTGTGTGTGTGTATATATATATATATATATATATATATGAAATGAATCTTTAAAAAGGATTCCCAGTATAGAAGGGAATTAGAGGAGAGTAGAAACATTACAAATAATATAATTAGTAAATATCTTGTAAACATAGTTTTAAAGAACTATAAGTTACGCTCAGTAAGTAACTAAGTATATTAGCACACTGCATCTTAAAGACTAAAGTACACTAATAGTCATTTTTGATCAAGCAAAAAATATATGTTAGAGCCATATAATAAGCAATCCGTAATGAAGTATTCATATTCTGCAGAGTGATCAGCACCATCCCTCATACTGGGAAAAAAAAATTACAGCTAATACGAATAGTTTTATTAATGTTGCAAGGTCAAAGAAAAGACTACAGACTACACTGATTTTTTCTTCTTTTTTTTTTTTTGAGACAGAGTCTCACTCTGTCACCTAAGCTGGAGTGCAGTGGTGCGGTCTCGGCTCACTGCAACCTCCACCTCCCAGGTTCAAGTGATTCTCCTGCCTCATCCTCCCGAGTAGCTGGAATTACAGGCATGACCCACCACGCCTGGCTAATTTTTTGTATTTTTAGTAGAGATGGGGTTTCACCATGTTGGTCAGGCTGGTCTCGAACTCCTGACCTCGTAATCTACCCGCCTCGGCCTCCCAAAGCGCTGGGATTACAGGTGTGAGCTACCGCACCCAGCCAATAATTTTCTAATTAACTATTAAATTACACAAATTTTAAGAGCTTCAGGGGGCTGGATGTTACCTATTATAAACAAGTGAACAAACCAAAGTTAAATGGCTGGCCTATAACTCGCTAGTCTATGGTGAAACTAGAGCCTAGATTTTCTAACTTGAGATTTGGTGTTCTTTCTACTCCTCAACCTGTCTCTGGATAATTAAGATACATACAACACCAACTCTTACATATGTTTGAAAGCACAAACTACCTCCCCTTCAGAAGAATCTTGAGATCTTCACTGTAATTACCAGTCAGAAGACAGGAGGCACCAATTCTCTAAGCGCTGTTCTGCAGCACTATACTGCTAATCAACCTCAAAACACTCCATTAAAAGAAAAGAAAGCTTACAAAAATATTAGGGAAGGAGCTGAGGTAGTAAAAACAAAAAAGTAATCAGAACTATACAACAAAAAAGAAAATGTTAACAGGGTACTGCCAATTTTGAGGCAAAGAAAATAAACAGGGGCCGGGCGCAACAGCTCACACCTGTAATCCCAGCACTTTGGGAGACCAAGGTGGGAGGCCAAGGTGGGCAGATCTCTTGAGTCCAGGAGTTCAAGACCAGCCTGGGCAACATGGCCAAACCCCATCTCTATTAAAAATACAAAAATTAGCCAGGCGTGGTGGTACACACCTGTAATCCCATCTACTCAGGAGGCTGAGGCATGAGAATTGCTTGAACCCGGGAGGCAAAGGTTGCAATGAGCCAAGATCGCACCACTGCATTCCAACCTAGGCAACAGAGCGAGACTGTCTCAAACAAAAAAGAAAAGCAAGAGGTACATATAGAACTGAGAAAATCTGCAAGACTACAGGAGGAAGTAAATGCTTAACAACAGTAAGGCCAGCTTTTGCTAACAAATATGATGGAGTAACTGATGCCAGACTAGCCTTCCCACCATGAGCAACCATAAAATAAAGTGCATAATACAACTGTTTACAGGCATTAGACAACAGGCAGGACAGGACATCCCTGAGAGATGGGAAACTCACAAGGTGAGCCCTACAAATACCTCAGCTTTCTATATGGCAACAATTGCCATAACCATGGCCCAGCAAGCAAGAGTTTAACAAGGGAATAGTGATTGTGCTAAGCCAAATAGGCAGAGATCAGAATGCAGGGTAGTTGATGTGGCTGAAATCCACAAGGCAGAGAGGCTAGAAGACATGTAGGATTCCCCCATAAATCCTTGGCCAAGAAATAGGCTGCACATGTGTAGGGCAAAACCAATCAAGGCTTAAAAGAGAGTGGTTAAGAGAGGAAAATACACTAGAGTTGAGGAGTACTGGGTATACCTAGAGTTCCCACCAGCCAGAGCAGAGAAATCACATTAACACCTTATTAACATCTCAGATATCCAGCTGAGATATCAAAAATGCCTCAACTAAGAGTAAGAACCACATCCTAGAATAAGGCATATTCTAGGTGCACCCTAACAAAGACTAAAATCAAGCCCCAACAAGTTTTTGAAGGGATTAAAAATGTGAGGTTGAGTTACACTAAAGTAAGGAAACAATGGGTTCTCCACATATCATTCTAGCAAAGAGTAAAACCAAGCCTACACAAGTTCAAAGTTATCTGCCAGTAACTGAACTACCTGCAAGAATTTTTAAAATCAACACTTTTCACAAAAATACAAAATCCAGAATCTCTATAATATACCACCTACAATTAAAAAGTAGTAAACATGCAAAAATAAATAAGCAGAAAACTGTAACCTACAGTCAAATAAAAGCAGTCAATAGAAACCAACCCTGAGATGGCTGGGCGTGATGGCTCACACCTGTAATCCCCGCACTTTGGGAGGCCGAGGCACGCAGATCACTTGAGGTCAAGAGCTTGGGACCAGCCTGGCCAACAGGGCAAAACCCCATCTCTACTAAAAATACAAAAATTAGCCAGGCATGGTAGCAGGCACCTGTAATCCCAGCTACTTGGGAGGCTGATGCAGGAGAATCACTTGAACCTAAGAGGTGGAGGTTGCAGTGAGCCAAGATCATGCCACTGCACTCCAGCATGGGCAACAGAGTGAGGCTCTCTCAAAAACACAAACAAAAAAGAAACCAACCCTGAGATAGCCAAGGAGTTAACTCTTACAGACAGAAACCTTAAGATTGACTATCATAAATATTTTAAAGGAATTAATGGAAAATATGTTCAAAAAATTAAAGGAAAATGCATTCAAAGAACTAAAGAAAAATATATTCTTGATGAGTATATAGATGGGAAATATCAGAGAAATGAAAACTATAAAAAAGATAAAAATGAAAACTCTACGACCAAAACAATACAATAAGAAATGAAAAATCTATTGGATGAGATTAGAAATGGCAGACAGGCAACAGTGAACCTGAAGATAGATCAATAGAAAATATATAATCTAAAGAACAGGGAGAAAGAGATATGAGTAAAATTAACTTCTCAACAGAAACACTAGAGAACAATGAAATGATATCTTTTGTATGGTCAAAGAAATGCCAACCCATAATTCTATATTCAGCAAAAATATCCTTCAAACACTAGGGTGAAATAAAAACACTTTCTTATAAACAAAATCAGAGTATATTCTTCACCAACACACCTACACTATAAGAAATGCTAAGGAGCTGGGCGCAGTGGCTCACGCCTGTAATCTCAGCACTTTGAGAGGCTGAGGCAGGCGAATCACCTGAGGTCAGGAGTTCAAGGCCAGCCTGGCCAACATGGTGAAACTCCATCTCTACTGAAAATACAAAAATTAGCCGGGCATGGTGGCACACACCTGTAATCCCAGTTACTCAAGAGGCTGAGGCAGGAGAATCGCTTGAACCTGGGAGGCGGAGGCTGCAGTGAGCCGAGATTGTGCCATTGTACTCCAGCCTGGGCGACAGAGCAAGACTCCGTCTCAAAAAAAAAAAGAAATGCTAAAGAATGTTCTTTAGGCAGATGGAAATCAATATGACTATAAAATCAGATCCAAAGGAAGAAGGGCAATATCAAAGATAGTAAATAGGTGAAAATAAGAGACTATATTTCACCACTTCATACCCACTAGAATGGCTATAATCAAAAGACAACTATAACAAGCATTGGCAACTACATAGAGAGACTAGAGCCCTCATTCACTGCTATAAGATGGTACAGCCACATTGGAAAACAAACTAAACAAAGAGTTACCATATGATCCAATAATTCTACTCCTAAATATATACATGAGAGAAACAAAAACATTTGTCCATACGAAAACTTGTACATGAATGTTCACAGCAGCATTATTCATAACAGCCAAAAAGTAGAAATGACTCAAATGTTCTTCAACTGATGAATGGATAAAATGTAGTATAGCCATACAATGGAATAATATTCAGCAATAAAAAGAAATGTTGTACTCATACATGCTACAACATGGATGAACCTAGAAAATATTACACTATGTAAAAGAAGCCAGTCCAGAGAACCACATACTGTATGATTCCATTTATATGAAAGGTCCAGAATAGGAAAATCTACATAGTCAGAAAGTAGATAACTGGTTGCCTAGTGCTATGGGAGGGGGGAGTTGAGGAGTGTGACGGCTAAGTGGTGAGAGGTATCTTTGTGGGGTAATATGTACATCTCTGAGAATATACTAAAAGCCATTGAAACGTACACTTTAAATGTGTGAATTTTATGGTACGTGAATTATATTCAGTGAAGTAGTTTTTTAAAAACATACCTTTCCTTAAAGACAACTGACTGTTTAAAGCAAAAATAACAACAAATCACAAATACAAATAAAAGATATGCTGAAAGAAACCACTAATAATAATAATAACAATGAGGAGTTAATTGTTGGCCATAAAAGGTGACTGTAATCCCAGAACTTTGGGAGGCTGAGGTGGGTAGATCACTTGAGGCCAGGAGTTTGAGACCAGCCTGGGCAACACAGTCAGAGACTAGCTCTACAAAAAAAAATTAAAAATTAGCTGGCTGTGGCAGTGCACACCTGTAGTCCCAAATTCTGGGGTGGCTGAAGTGGAAGGATCCCTTGAACCCCTGAGTTCAAGGTTGCAGTGACCTGTGATAAAGCCACCACACTCCAGCCTGGGTGATAGAGTGAGATCCTGTCTCTTATTTAAAAAAAAATAAAAATAAATAAAAAATAAAAAGCTACCGGCTAATAGGCCAATACTTTAAAAAATCCAATTATTTCAAAATAAGGCAGGAAAGGAGCAAAAGAACAACAAAAAAACCAAAGGAATACAAGGAAACATGTAGACTTAAACCCAATGATATCAATAATTAGATATAATGGACTAGTACACCAATTAAAAGGCAGAGATTGTCAATCCAGATAAAATGGCAAGACCCAGTGAAGTAGAGTCTCCCAGAGACAGACACAAATTGGTTGAAAGTAAATGGATGGGGGCCAGGTACAGCAGCTCACTCTTGTAATACCTACATTTTGGGAGGCCCAGGCAGGAGGATCACTTGCGCTCAGGCGTTTGAGACCAGCTTGGGAAACATAGCAAGACCCCATCTCTACTAAAAATTAAAAAAAAAAAAAAAAAAAAAACCCCAGGCGCAGTGGCTCACGCCTGTAATCCCAGCACTTTGGGAGGCCGAGGCAGGAGGATCACGAGGTCAGGAGATCGAGACCATCCTGGCTAACACAGTGAAACCCTGTCTCTATTAAAAATACAAAAAATTAGCCAGACGTGGTGGCCCGTGCCTGTAATCCCAGCTACTCGGAAGGCTGAGGCAGGAGAATGGTGTGAACCTGGGAGGCGGAGCTTGCCGTGAGCTGAGATCGCGCCACTGCACTCCAGCCTGGGCAACAGAGCGAGATTCCATCTCAAAAAATAAAAATAATAAATACATAAATAAATAAATAAGCCAGGTGTGGTGCCATGCACCTGTAGTCCTAGCTACTCAAGAGGATGAGGCAGGAGGATCATTTGAGCCCAGGAGTTTATGATTGTGCCACTGATATTACATGGGTTAAAAAATTTTTTTAAAGTAAATGAACGGAAAAATGCACACTATCAAATAGTAAGCACAAGAAATCTGACAGTGCCAAATTATTATCAGACAGAATCTTCAGGAAAAAGCATATTACAAGAGACAAAGAGGGCCATTTCATAATGATAAAAGGAGAAATGTATTAGGAAGGCATAACAATCCCAAATATGTACCCAACAAGAGAGTTCCAAAATGCATAAAGTATGACAAAACTTACAAGAAAAACTGACAAATCTATAATCATAGTGGAGTAATTCATAAGATGAGTAGATAAAATAAATTAATAAAGATACAGAAGATCTGGTAATGCTATCAACCAAGATGGGTATGGTAATATGTACCACGTTTATAACTTATACTACACTACACCCAACAACCACAGAATGTATATTCTTTTCAAATGTACACTGATTGTTCACAAAGACAGGCCATATGCTGGACCATAAGCAAGCTTTCAGAAAACTTCAAAAGACTGAAATTTTATAGAGTATATCCTCTTATCACAACAGAAAATTATAAAATAATATATCTAGAATGTTCCTGTTCTAAATCTTCCACCTAAAATAAGTGCCTTTTCCTAATTTTCTACCCAGAGGGGGCTCTGTTTCCCAATTTGCACAAAGGTACTGAATAAGATCAGTATATTAAATGAGTTAACACCACTTATTATTCTTATCAACAAATAAATTCAAACTTAATCTGATAAAACTTTTAAACATAACTAACAATTTAGAGGAAATACTGAGAACAGAAGAACATATTTAACAATATCACAGAGATGCAATAAGCAAAATTCGGACTCTTCAGGATAAACTATCCAGTAACATCAGTAAATGAGAGAGAAATAGGAGAACAGAAAAAAAAGGGAAAAAAAGAAAGAGAAAGATGTTAAGTAACTATCACAAAACATTGCCTTTATATATCAAGATGGTAGGTACTTGATTTTGCTTATCTTGTACTTTGCGTCTCGTGCGTGATGAAAAAAGTAGATTTAGCACATAAAATTTCCAGAGACAGGTTTTGCCAAGAATGGTTGGGATAGAAATTAATTTTTTTTTAAGATGGAGTCTTGCTCTGTAGCCTAGGCTGGAGTGCAGTGGTGTGATCTCGGCTCACTGCAACCTCTGCCTCCCAGGTTCAAGTGATTCTCCTGCCTTAGCCTCCCCAAGTACCTGGGATTACATGCCCATGCCACCACACCCAGCTAATTATTGTATTTTTAGTAGAGACGGGGTTTCACTATGTTGGCCAGGATGGTCTCGAACTCCTGACCTCAGGTGATCCACCCGCCTCAGCCTCCCAAAGTGCTGGGATTACAGGCGTAAGCCACTGCACCCAGACAGAAATTAAATTATTAAAGGCTGTAGTTAAATGAGAATTAGATACCACTGCCTCCATCTAATTCTATATGCCTTCAGAATGGAAGGCCCATTTCTTGAAATAGGTGGCCTGATAAAGAAAAAAAATTACCATTTTCTGTAATTGAGACAATGTTCATCCTTGAACAGAAAAAATTAAAAAAAGAACATGAAATCCAATCTTCTTCTATATGCATACAATCAATTCATTTGTGCATTTGCTAGATTAAATTGATAAGTAGGGAAATATGCTTCTTCAATTGCTAGCAGCTAAGAGACAAAGGTATTTAATAATGTTTCACCTCTTTTCTCTCCTCTCTGCTCCTGTATTTTCTCCCATAAGTAAAACTCCTAGTTAATTTTTCCATAACCCTATAGTTCCTCTTTTATGAAGCACTACTCCTACTCACTTTATCACTTGCCTCCAAAAAGTCTTTGCTACTTGAGGACATGAAAAAAAAAAAAATAAGTTAATAAAATCCTGCGGAAGCCAGCCTTCAAGATAGCCCAATGATATTCACACTCTTGGTATTCACACTCTTGTGTGTACTCTCCCACATTATAACACTACAAAACACCAGAGGTGATGGTATATCACTTCTATCATTAGGTTTTAAAAGGCTCTACAGCTTCCAGTTCCCTTCCTCCCTCCCTTTCTCTCTTCTCCCATCCATCTCTCCAATCTTCCTTACCTCCGCTCATATCACTAGTTCTGGGAGAAGCCACGTCATAAGTAGCCCTATGGAAGAGTCCATGGGGAGGAACTGAAGCCTCCTGACAAGAGCCACATGAGTGACCTTGGAAACAGATACTCCAGGCCCAGTCAAATCTAGACTGCAGTCCTAGCCAACAACTTGATTACAACATCCTAAGACCGAGCCAGAATCATTCAGCAAAATAATACCTGCTCTTCTCAGACTAACAAGCATATTATAAAAATGCCTATATTCAATCCCATGAAATATATGCCATAAAAACTCAACAAACTATCAAAAAATTTTTCATTAAGAGCCAAAATGAGGCTGGACACGGTGGCTCACGCCTGTAATCTCAGCACTTTGGGATGCCAAAGCGGGTGGATCACCTGAGGTCGGGAGTTCAAGACCAGCCTGACCAACATGGAGAAACCCCATCTCTACTAAAACTACAAAATTAGCCAGAGGTAGTGGCGCATGTCTGTAATCCCAGCTACTCGGAAGGCTGAGACAGGAGAACTGCTTGAACCCGGGAGGCAGAGGTTGTGGTGAGCTATCACGCCATTGCACTCCAGCCTGGGCAACAAGAGCAAAACTCCATCTCAGGCCGGGCGCAGTGGCTCACACCTGTAATCCCAGCACTTTGGGAGGATCGAGGCGGCTGGATCACGAAGTCAGTAGTTCGAGACCAGCCTGGCCAACATAGTGAAACCCCGTCTCTACTAAAAATACAAAAATTAGCCGGGCATGGTGGCATGCGACTGTAGTCCCAGCTACTCGGGAGTCTGAGGCAGGAGAATCACTTGAACCTGGGAGGTGGAGGTTGCAGTGAGCCTAGATCATGCCACGGCACTCCAGCTTGTGTGACAGAGCAAAACTTCGTCTCAAAAAAAAAAAAAAAAAAAATCCAAGATGTTTTTCTTATCAGAAAAGCATCTGATAAGATGCTTTTAAACATCTTTTAAAATGCAAGATTTTAAAAAATAATATTAGCCAATATAGGCAAAGTTGTGTGGCAATAGGAATCTCCATACAGTTGTTGGTAACATAATTGACAAGATCTTTTTTTTTTTTTTTTTGTAAGATAGGGTTTCCCTCCTGGCTAACACGCTGAAACCCCGTCTCTACTAAAAATACAAAAAAATTAGCCGGGCGTGGTAGCGGGCGCCTGTAGTCCCAGCTACTCGGGAGGCTGAGGCAGGACAATGGCGTGAACCCGGGAGGCGGAGCTTGCAGTGAGCCGAGATTGCGCCACTGCACTCTAGCCTGGGCGACAGAGCGAGACTCCTTCTCAAAAAAAAAAAAAAAGGATAGGGTTTCCCTATGTTGTCCAAGTTGGTCTCGAACCCTCCCTCCTCAGCCTCCCAAGTAGCTAGGATTACAGGTAGGAACAACCATGCCTGTCTTGACATAATCTTTTTTGAGAACAACTGGGCCATATTTATCAAATTTAAAAGCCACAAACTCTGACCCAACAATTCTACTACTGGACATTACCTTGTGATTTTTACCTGTTATATCTTATGATATACTGGCCTAAATGCTCAAAGACATATATGTACATATATATGCATATTTATGGATGCTTACTCCAAGGAAAAACTGGATAATTAAATATTAATTTTAAAAATTGGGGTAAATAAATTATATTTGAACAATGGACTACTATCAAATTGTTAAAAGAGGAAAACATATGCATATTGATCTAGAGAGATTATCCAATATACATAATGAAAAAAGCAAGGAAATATATATATATACACACATATATATATGTTTATGCTATATTCCTGTTTATGCTAAAGGAAGAAAAAGTTTTCTACCCAAACACACCCATGTTTGTATATGCATAGAAAATATCCGAAAATATACACAAACAACCTAAAAGTTGTCACCTCTGGAGAAGTGAACCACAGAAATTTTTACCTTTCACTTAATAACTTACGTTGCTTTTATTATTAATAGCTTATATAATTTTAAATTTTTTAAATGATTGCCAAAAAAATCAGTGAGTTCTCTCCTCCATTCAGAAACAGCAGTGTGTTAGCCTAGATTAAAGTACTTCTTTAAAAGGATGATTAATTAGACAACATGCTAAAGAGTTCATATTAAGAAAATTACAACAGAGTCCTTATAATTAAAGCTGTATTTTCACATTTCATAGTGTACTGAAATCATTTAAAGCTAATCATTATTGTGCAAGTATTTCATAGCAGGCCAAATAAGTCCTGTTTTAATTTTATTTCTGCTTATCACCCATGCCACACAAAGAATAATAATAATAAAATAGCCAATATATAGTAAACAAATATTATGTGACAGAATACTAAATATCTCTAAATATTTTCCATATATTATTTAATACTTAAGGACCGTGATACAAGCAGCACTATTTTCTCTATTGTACCAACAAGAAGAACGGCTAACAAAGAGTTAGTCATTTCCCTAAGGCCACAGAGCCGGTAAGAGTAAAGAATGTGAAATCAGACAGGCTCATTCCAAAGCTTGTTCTCTCAGCCAATACGCTACAGCTTTTCACTCATTTTGTTCACATTTCAAGTCAAAAAAGGACTGTAAAATGTAGCCTGTTATCTAACAGGTTAGCAAATTAACCACATTAAATGCAACACCAGAATGAATTAGACAAAAGTCTTAACTCTTAGATCTTAACAAAAAGGGCTGAGGATACAACAAAAGCAATTTCAATTAAAATAAATATTTTATACTTGCCCAATTAAAATGCCATTTATGTTACTGAAATCGTATAATCTTCCCTGAATGGCTAAGTGCTGCTAGGCCAGAAAATTACATTTAGCATCCTTCTGGTAAATTACATTTAGTTAGTATCCTTCCCAAAAAAAAAAACAAACTCTCTTTCCTGTTCCACCATAACAAACCTGATAAAGAAAAATGGAGAGAAATTGAACGAAATCTCTCTAAAAACAGTCTATCTACAGTGTTTTTCCATGTAGAATTCCCTTTTCCATGCATTCTTCTTGATTACTTTTACCTTACTTCTAATCTTAAATCATTCAATCACAGCTCTACTATACTTCTTTGCAGAGTAAAGCAAAGGAAAATAAAGATCAATTAGAAAAGTTAAGTAAGCTAATAAATTCCATATAATAATTATAGCTACAGCTAATCATGCAATTTATGCTTACCTAAAGACCCTGTCATTGCTCTACATTTTTGTCAGCACTTGGGGGGTTGGGAGGAGACCTTGTCTACACACTGTAGATTATCCATTATTTTTTGCCTCCAATAAACCTGAAAGAAACTACAGGAATATATGCTCGCCATTACATGGCACCTTTTTATCTCAAAGTGCTTTCTAGAACCACCTTCACTAAACCACATCTGACAAGAAATCTGGCAAGAAACACTTTGACCAATCCCTGTTTCAAAATACACAAACTCAACCTCCCTCCTTCTGCCCCCTTCCCCTGAAAATGGGCGTTCTAAAGTCAGACTTCCTGGGTTCCAATTCTCTCAAGGCCCACTTAATAAGGGACCTTGAGCAGTCTCGATTTCCTTCCCTGTGAAATGGAAATACCAGTATCTACTTCATGGGACTGTTGTAGGAATGAACTGAGATAATTCATGGTAAGGCGCTTAGAACACTGTCTGGCACAAAATGTGCACTCAAATGCCAGCCATTATTATATCTTCAAAATTAACTACCTACAGTCCGGGTTTTCTTCATTTTAGTGATGGGAGTCTAACCGAACTCCATCAGGACAAGTGGGCATACACACAGGGTTTTTTAATTAACTCATACAATAAATAGCAGCAGTATATACTCAAGCAAATTTTAAGTTTTCATAGCACTTTCGCACTTTTTCAATAAAAACATTTCATATGAAATAAACACTCCAATCCCCCACGCTTTTAATCAGCGATGTCCAGAGCCCAGTAAACAACACAAAGCCTGGAAATACAGTCGGGATACTCATTGGCTATGGAAGGGGGAACCTGACAAACTGCTGGATGCCACACTGAGAACCCGCAGTTCAAAGCAGGCCAGAGCCGCTCGGGGCTAGCGGCTACAGTCTATTTAAAGTCACAACGCCTTCTTTTCCCATTTTCCTCCCCAGTGTTGAAACTAACAACGCCCTTTGCTCCCAAGACGAGGCCTAGCATCTCCCGGTCCTCTCCTCCCACCCAGCGCGTCTCTCCCCCAGGGAATCCACTGCCGCCCAACTCACAGAGTGTGTCCGCACACATTCACCATCAGCTTCAAGGAGGGGTTCCGATATTTGGTGGTCTTACACCGAGGGCAACCCTGATCGTCCATGGCGGTTTCCCTCCTACAGACTCTCGCAGGCGCCTGTTTCAGCCAGAGCCACCTACAAGCCCCCTCAGACGCGACCAAGCAGGTTCCTACCAACAGGCGCTTGGCAGAGACGGTCCCTTCGCGAAAGAGCACCGGCAAGGGGCGAGGCGCTGCAACACAAACGTTCCGGCAGTCAGTTCCCCCGGTCTTGCATCTAGGGCTTGGTCTTAGCCTTCCATAAAGCAACTTAATACCTTGAATTTGACAGGGGAACTTTTAAAATGGCAAATTATACAAAGCCTTATCTCCACGCACCCAGTTGCATTTTTCAAGGTACTGTGTCACAATTAGGAAGATAAATTCCATCTTGTTCTGTCTGGAAACATTCCCATGATTTCAAAGATTTATGAGCGGTGTACTTACTTTCTTTTGGACCATTTAATAGCCTGTGCTTTATACTTCTTTATAATTGCATAGTCATGTCAGCTCAGCTGATAATATGCATTCGCAGATACAAAATATGAAAAAGCTATCTACTCCATCAGACAGTATTTATTTCCCCAAATACCTAGGAAAAAATCATATAAGAATACATACAGAAAAATTTAGTTCTGCAATTCCAAGATCTGATAGCCTGAATATCTTTGTAAATTGTAAACCATGTTCATCACATTTATCAAGAAGGCAAATTGAAGTCTGTAAACAGCTCTATTAAATAATAAGCTTTCCCACTGTAAAGGACACATCTTATTCATCTCCAAAATAAAGATTTGTTGATTCTTAATGAGTAAGTAGACTAAGTGAAGAATTAATGAATGACTATCAAACAATAGTGTAATGTGAAAATTTTTAGTGTCAAACATTTTTTGTAACCACCTTCATCTGACCCAAACTCCATCAGAAGGGAACATGCAAACTAGATTTTTCAAATAATCTGATACAATGAGTATAAGCTATAAACATTTATAGTAATTTTAACTCATCATAGAACTTGTGTTCTTTTCAATAAAAAGTAATATTCAATTCACATTTTTAAACAGTGAACCTGGTAGGGAACCCAAAACCCAAAAATACAGTTGGGATTTCCATGGGTATAGAGAGGGATGCTGACAAACAGCTGGATACCACACCCAGGAACCAGCAGATCAAAGCAGGCTGTGACAGAGCTTTACATTAGTATGAAGACATCAAGGATTCATCTAATAAATAAACCATATCATCTCTTTGATCATAATATTGTTCCTCAACAGGAGTTAACCAAACATAAACTTACTAAAATAGGTAACACCAAATACTATGCTACTATGCTGACCCGGAGGCTTATTATGCTGCTGCTATTGTCTTATTGAAAGACCACATCCAGACCAGTTACATGATTCAGAGTGAAGCTCTTCAAGAACAAAGGCAACTCTAGTACTTTATATTTTGGACCATTTAATAGCCTGTGCTTTATACTTCTTTATAACTGCATAGTCATGTAAGCTCAGCTGATAACATACAAGAAACTTCTGGTGAAAGAATGAATATGTCATATGTGCAAATAAAATTTTTAGCCAATACTACATTGAGGTCATCCACTCAGATGGCATTATAGTTTATTGCCACTAGGACAATTTTTGTGTGTTTGTTTGTTTGTTTTGAAACAGGATCTCCTTCTGTTGCCCAGGCTAGAGTGCAGTGGCCCGATCACAATTCATTGCAGCCTTGAACTCCTGGGCTCAAGTCATCCTCCCACCTCAGCCTTCTAAGTAGCTGGGACCTCAGGCACTAGCCACCAGTCCCAGCTAATTTTTTATTTTATTTTTTTAAGAAATGGGATCTCACTATGTTGCCCAGGCTGGTCTTGAATTCCTGGGCTCAAGCAGTCCTCCTACCTCAGGCTCCCAAAGTGCTGGGATTACAGGCATGAGCCTGTAATGATGCCCAGCTATCCAGGACAGTTTTAATTACGTCTTTGAAGATGAGACCCCAACCACGTTGCGAAGTGAATTGCTTTTCCTTTCTCCCAAAACTTAAGATTAAGGCAAAGAAAGCACTAAAGATTGTGAGAAGCAGCAATGCTACAAGCTTTATCCTTTTCCTAGGTGGGAAACTACTAACTTGGAAGCATGGTAGCAACAGCTGACTTGGAAATCTGTCAGATAAGCTTTACTTATGGACCTAAAGACAGTAGAAAATAGCACTTATAGATTTGGTCTCTAGTACCAAGAGAGCTGAATTCAAGTGCTGGCTTCATCACATGATTTATATGACCTTGAGCCTCAGTTTTCCCAATTCTAAGTTCAGGATAGTACTTGTAAAGAATAAAAGATACTTCATTTAAAACACCTAGCATAGAGTAAGAGCTTAGTAACTGCTGGCCATTATTAATGGTAGCATTAGGATACTGGCAGTAGTATTATCTAAAAGAGGCGGGACAATATAATAATAAGAGCCCAACCTTCTTTTACATCAGTCAGACCTGTGTTTGAAGCAAATTTCCAATCCTCCCGTTCCTGTTTCCTTCTTGCATATAATACACTTCATAAAATTGCTGTAATGATTAAATTACATGACATAGACATACATAAAGGCCCTAATACAATGCCTCATACATTACAGAAGCTCTGAAATGTACATCATTATCACTGGTGGGGATGAATAACATGGAATGGTCAGAGAGCTTTGAGGAGGAAAGCACTGACGGCACCAGGTTCCTAATTCAAATGGAACCTCAGCCTATGTAGAAAACCACCAAACTCAAGTTTCCTACATTTCTTTTTTTTTTTAGGAGAAAATAATTTATCAACCATAACATATAATTTTGAAAGGTTAAAAACACATTCGTCTCAACACAAAAATTCAATCATGCTTAAGTTCCTTCCAACGTGTTCATCCAAGGTGAACCTTCATATGTTTACAAATTCTTTTTCTTTATGAATTTTTGTTGACTAAGAACAAATTTTTTTCATTTTCTGAACTTCAAAATTATGCATTTTTCTATATGCTATACATATGAAACTTACGCTTCCTATGTATTGTTTTTGTTTTACTACTTTATTTTTTTTAGGTTTTTTATTATTATACTTTAAGTTATAGGGTACATGTGCACAACATGCAGGTTTGTTACATATGTATACATGTGTTGTGTTGGTTTGCTGCACCCATTAACTCGTCATTTACATTAGGTATTTCTCCTAATGCTATCCCTCCCCCATCTCCCCACCCCACGTCAGGCCCCGGTGTGTAATGTTCCCTGCCCTATGTCCAAGTGTTCTCAGTGTTCAACTCCTACCTATGAGTGAGAACATGCGGTGTTTGGTTTTCTGTCCTTGTGATAGTTTGCTCAGAATGATGGTTTCCAGTTTCATCCATGTCGCTACAAAGAACATGAACTCATCCTTTTTCATGGCTGCGTAGTATTCCATGGTGTATATGTGCCACATTTTCTTAATCCAGTCTATCACTGATGGACATTTGGGTTGGTTCCAAGTCTTTGCTATTGTGAATAGTGCTGCAATAAACATACATGTGCATGTGTCTTTATAGTAGCATGATTTATAATCCTTTGGGTATATGCCCAGTAATGGGATGGCTGGGTCAAATGGTATTTCTAGTTCTAGATCTTTGAGGAATCGCCCCACTGTCTTCCACAATGGCTGAACTATTTACACTCCCACGAACAGTGTAAAAGCATTCCTATTTCTCCATATCCTCTCCAGCACCTGTTGTTTCCTGACTTTTTAATGATCACCATTCTAACTGGTGTGAGGTGGTATCTCATTGTGGTTTTGATTTGCATTTCTCTGATGACCAGTGATGATGAGCATTGTTTCATGTGTCTGTTGGCTGCATAAATCTCTTCTTTGGAAAAGTGTCTGTTCATATCCTTTGTCCACTTTTTGATGGGGTTGTTTGACTTTTTTCTTGTAAATTTGTTTAAGTTCTTTGTAGATTCTGGATATTAGCCCTTTGTCAGATGAGTAGATTCCAAAAATTTTCTCCCAGTCTGTAGGTTGCCTGTTCATTCTGATGGTAGTTTCTTTTGCTGTGCAGAAGCTCTTTAGTTTCATTAGATCCCATTTGTCTATTTTAGCTTTTGTTGCCATTGCTTTTGGTGTTTTAGTCATGAAGTCCTTGCCCATGCCTATGTCCTGAATGATATTGCCTAGGTTTTCTTCTAGGATTTTTATAATTTTAGGTCTAACATTTAAGTCTTTAATCCATCTTGAATTAATTTTTGTATAAGGTGTAAGGAAGGGATCAAGTTTCAGCTTTCTACATATGGCTAGCCAGTTTTCCCAGTAGCATTTATTAAATAGGGAATCCTTTCCCGATTTCTTGTTTTTGTCAGGTTTGTCAAAGATCAGATGGTTGTAGATGTGTGGTGTTATTTCTGAGGCCTCTGTTCTGTTCCATTGGTCTATACATTTCTGAAGACAGCTGAATCCCAAAAGTGGAAAAATTGAGGCCCTTATTTCTCTTCCCAAGTCTGCTCATCCTCTAGCATTCCTACCTCAGTTAACAGTAGATTCTATGGGAATGGGACAGTGTTTCTCAAATGCAGACCTTCTTTTCCAGCCCCAAGGCTATGGACCCAGGTTGGGCTTTCCTCATCGGAAGAGGATACTTACTGTTTTCTCCCTTTACTAAGGACAGCATCTCTACTCCACTTCTTTTGGGAAATAGTCCTTAGTCCCTCACCCCACATGTATGTGGTTCTACTAGGTCTGTTAATCACAATGCCTGCCCCCTGGCACAGGGGTTGGCATGACACCTTTATTGGCTGTGAACTTCCTCAGGAACCAGAAACTCCGATTGAACTGGCCTAGGCAAAAAGTTGAATTTATTGGATCACAATATCAAACAATGTGAAGAGCAGGAGTGCAGCTGGCTGGACTTGAAGACCTGCTATCCCATTTCACTTGCCTCTGTCTTTCTCATCAGGTTAGTTTTCAAAGGAGCTTTCTCCAAAACCTTAGAAACATGGCTCCCAGTAGCTCCAAGCTCACATTTTACATTTTCATCAAAGAGGCTCTGCTGCTTTTCCCTTACTGCCAATTTGAACAATTCTTCCCTAGGCCAGTTCAAGTGGGGTCTCTGGATCCTGGGGAAATTCATATCACCATAAAAAAGTAAGAGTGCTGCTATGCTTGGGAGATGACTAGAATCTGGCACTCAGTCTCTGCCAGGATGTCTTCTCTCCACTGTAGCCCATGTGACTCACTAGGTCACTCTTCATCTCACCTACTGCTTATCAGTGTCCTAAACATGCAGATACCTTGATCACTGAGAATTCCCAAGCATTATTTCTAAGATTCCCTCTACTAGTCTTCCTTAATTCTTCCAGTACAAGTTTGAAAACTCCCAGCAAAAGATTCTGAGTGTTTTGGGGCAAGTGCCCATCTTGGGTCATCAATGGTGGCCATGATATGACACACAGACATCACCACTGTATATCCCACAGCAAACAGCATTTCATTCAAAGTCCATAATTTGTCTCCAACATGCCTTTTAAGCTAATAACCCACATTTACATACAACCCACACTCCAGACACACTGGATTACTATTTCAAAAATATACCACACACCTTCACAGCTCCATGCTTTTCTCATTCTGTTTCCTCTGCTTCTCATTAACCTTTATCCTTATCCTCTCAAAATTATTGTCCTTAAAGACCTAGCTAAAAATTCACTCCCAATTGCCCTCCTCCTCTCAAAATCAGACTCTTTATCCTCACCAATCCCATATCCTATATTGTTACTTATCTTTGTCTTATCTCCCCCACAAAATTTTAAGCTCCTCAGGAACAGAGACCTCAATATATTCGTCTTTCTATCCTTTGGTACCAAACCCAGTGCCTTGAACTTAAGGCTCAGTAAGTGTTTGGCAAATAAATGATCCTTCAGAAATATTCACTACATGTCATCAACCATCACTAAATAATAATGGATGGGAGATAACTTTAGAACCTAATTTCTCTAATACACTAATAGTACCAGTACATATGCTTTTTTTCCCCCTGGGACAGGGTCTCGCTCTGTGTCCAGGCTAGAGCTCAGTGGCATGATCATGGCTTACTGGAGCCCTGGCTCAGGTGATCCTCCCACTTCAGCCTCACAAGTAGCTAGGACTGCAGGTGAGTGTCACCACACCCAGCTAATTTTTGTATTTTTTGTAGAGATGGGGTTTCACCATGTTAACCCAGGATGGTCTCAAACTCCTGGACTCAAGCGATCCATTCACCTGGGCCTCCCAAAGTGCTGGGATTACAGGTGTGAGCCACCACACCCAGCCCAAACTCACTGATGAATGAAGAAATCTCCATTCTTGATGGCAAAACCATCAAATATATTCAAGCAAAGTGTAAAATTTTGTGCTGCACCTGATTTTCTTCAATATACTAAAATGGCCAAAGATTTTTACCTACACTCATCACTGTCTTCAAGCTGGAAGGAAAAGACACAGAACAAGCAGCTTGGTTTTTTGCTCTTCACTCTCACACAATCCCAGCCTCAATCCTGTTTTCCCAAATCACAACACAGATTGATTTTTATTTTTATTTTAGATTCAGGGGGTACACGTGTAGGTTTCTTACATGGATATATTGCACGATGTTGAGGTTTAAGCTTCTATTGAACCCTTCAACCAAATAGTGAACATAGTACTCAACAGGTAGTTTTTCAACCCTTGATCCCCTTCGTCCCTCCCACCCCTTTTGGAGTCCCCAGTGTCTGTTGTTCCCATTTTTATGTCCACATGTACCCAATGTTTAGCTTCTACTTTTTTTTCCCCCCTATCATCCAGGCAGCAGCCTCAAACTCATGGACACAAGCAATCCTTCCACTTCAGTCTGCCAGGTAGCTGTAACTACAGACGCTCACCACCATGCCCAGCTATTTTTTTTTTATTTTTTGTAGAGACAGGGTCTCATTATGTTGCCCAGGCTGTTCACAAACTCCTAGCCTCAAGCTATCCTCCCAGATTGGCCTCCCAAAGCACTGGGATTACAGGTATGAGCCACTGCACCCAGCCTAGCTCCCACTTATAAATAACATGCAGTATTTGGTTTTCTGTTTTGGATTAATTCACTTAAGACAACAGCTTCCAGCAGCAACCATGTTACTACAAAGGACATGATTTCATTCTTTTTTATAGCTGTGTAGTATTCCATGAGCAACACAGTTTTAGACAGCATATCAATACAACAGACTCAATGTTCACAGCATGGCACACATAGGAAGTAGAAGCAAGTATTCATCAATTTTACAACACATTTGGCAAAACCAGTGCTCTGGGATAAACTCTACACACCTTCAGGTCTAGTATTCCATTCCAATGTAACTGACCATGTTTGAGTCTACTTTGAATTGCTGGCAGAATGAGCTCTGAGTGTCAACTGGCTAAAGGAACCTGGATCTTGGTGTGGATTTCACAGCTGGTCCTACTGGAGGTATGGAATAGCAATGTAGCTAGCTACAGGCTACAGATGTCATAAAAAGCCACTGTTGCTTCTATATAATCTGTTGAACTTGATGCTCTAGAGGCAAATATACAGAAGACATGCAGAAGTGGTTTTCCAAGTCAATGCACTATATTTGATTGATAATAATTCTGAAGCAGACTCCTGTGACCTGGTTTGGGATGGCTCCAAACATAGCCAAAGGAATTTTCACTAGGTATATACAACTAAAAAGTCTCCTACTTTGCAATATCAGGAAGAAGATAACAAACATTTACCAAGGATTAATTACTCACCAGGTGCTTTCTGGCACATCTTATCTCATTTAATCCTCACAACAACTTAGTCGACTTTTTATAGTCAAGTAGCTAATAAATGGAAGAGCTAGGATTAAACCTGTGTCTAGCTATCTGATCCTCAAATCCACATCCTTTCCACTAAACCACACCATATCCTGTCTACTTTGTTCTGAGAAATGTGCTTTAAAATTTCAAGGAATTAAATGCAACATGGTCTCCTGGATTGGATCATAGGACAGAAAACAGACATTAATGAAAAAAAAAACTGGTGAAATCCAAATAAAGTCTAGAGGTTAGTTAATAGAAATGCGCCAATGTTAATTTGTTTAGATAAATATAGCATTATCATGTAAGATGTTAAAATTAAAGGGAACTAGGTGAAAGGTAAGTGGAAACTCTACTATTTTGGTAACTTTTCTGTAAATGAAAAGCATTCCAAATAAAAAATATATTTTTAAAAAAATTTGGCCAGGTGTGGTGGCTCATGCCTCTAATCCCAGCACTCTGGGAGACTGAGGTGGGCGGATCACTTGAGGTCAGGAATTTAAGACCAGCCTGGCCAACATGGTGAAACCCCATCTCTACTAAAAATACAAAAATTAGCTGGGTGTGGTTGGCAGGTGCCTGTAATCCCAGCTACTCGGGAGGCTGATGCAGGAGAATCACTTGAAACCAGGAGGGGCAGGTTGCAGTGAGCTGAGATCATGCCACTGCACTTCAGCCTGGGCATCAGAGAGAGACCCTGTCTCAAACAAAAACAAACAAGCAAACAAAAATTCAAGGAAGTTCTGAATCTCAGTTATTGTCCTGAAGCTTGGTACCTAACTGGATGTTTCCAGTGGAGTAGAAACACATGGTCTTGGCCGGGCGCGGTGGCTCACGCCTGTAATCCCAGCACTTTGGGAGATCGAGGCGGGCGGATCACGAGGTCAGGAGATCGAGACCATCCTGGCTAACACGATGAAACCCCATCTCTACTAAAAATATAAAAAATTAGTCGGGCATGGTGGCACGCGCCTGTAGTGCCAGCTACTCAGGAGACTGAGGCAGGAGAATCGCTTGAACCCGGGAGGCAGAGGTTGCAGTGAGCCAAGATCACGCCACTGCACTCCAGCCCGGGCAACAGAGTGAGACTCCATCTCAAAAAATAAATAAATAAATAAATAAATAAATAAGCAAATAAATAATATGGCCTTTTCTGTTGTTATAAATTTTAAATCTACCAGCGATGTCAACACATTAGGGTAATGCAAAAACAAGTTAAATCCTACATCAAATGACATCTTGATTGACCAGCAATAAAATAAAGCCTGTCTACAAAAAAAAAGAAAATCTCACCAAGTTTATCATGACGGCAGGTGACCTAGACAGCTGCTTTGTAATATGCTGAAGTAGGCAGCTATGAGTAGCTGGGAAGCATACACAATACAAGGCCACCCTGAAGCAAAGGTTAGGATGATGTCATTAAAATGTTGAATTTTGAGAGGCCGAGGCGGACGGATCACGAGGTCAGGAGATCGAGACCATCCTGGCTAACGTGGTGAAACCCCGTCTCTACTAAAAAATACAAAAAAAAAAAAAAAAAAAAAATTAGCTGGGCGTGGTGGCGGGCGCCTGTAGTCCCAGCTACTCGGGAGGCTGAGGCAGGAGAATGGCGTGAACCCAGGAGGCGGAGCTTGCAGTGAGCCGAGATCACACCACTGCACTCCAGCCTGGGCGACAGAGCGAGACTCCATCTCGGGGGGAAAAAAAGTTGAATTTTGAGAAAGAGCAGCAGCAGGCAAACCCAACTGACCTACAGTAATCAAAGAAGCAGAAATGGATCATCCCTTTTGGAATTAAGATCTTGTGCAAATTACAAAGGAAAGAGACACAACTGCAAACAACAAAAGACTCTACCCCCACTTCAGCATCAAACCAGAGGGCAATCTGTCTATGCTGTGGAAAAGGGCTTCTGATCCTGCACTGATCTGGATGACACCCGCACATTCAGTGTTTCTAGCCTATCATCGTTAAAAAAGAAATACTCATATACTTACATTAAAAAGTTCATGTAGAAAACTTAAATTTCCATATTTAAAGCTTAGATCTCTTCCACACGACTCATCCAGGATAAACTTATGGTTTAATATTCTACATGTTTAATTATACCATGTTCAACTCAGTTGGGTTGCCAGCCCTCCACGTGGCTTAAGGTTAAGTACATTTTTTGAAGGCTTCTTGTTTTTGTCTTCTCAGTGTGCTATTTATGCTGCTAATTATAAGGTTTTCAAGCATTTTTCCCTCTTTGGAATTTTAATTTACTGTAAATGCTTGCCCCTTAGAACATTTCCTAGTGTCATTTTATTTTTGACCGTTTTGAATACAAAATCCTTGATAAAGACATCCAAAAAGAGGGAGAATGGGGAACAGGGACATACTGGGGGGCTTCTGAATTGTCCTCTGAAGTTTTGTCATCTAGATGCTGAGGGTGGTCTCTTTGTTAAAAATTTAACCATCCAGACCTTAAGGCCACACAATTAATATTCCCTCTGGAATTGTAGGGCCTCTGTTTGAAAGAGTTGTCCAGTTTTCAGGCCACATTAGGTAATTTCCCGCCCAGGAGCGTGGCTTGGAAAGAATGTCGGTGTTTTCCTTCAGGTATAGGTGCCTGGGGGTCAGGAGGGGAGGGAAAGGCGAGGGGTGGAGTGGGAGGCGGGTGATCGACAGGGATAGAAACTGTGTCTCCTCCTCCCTCTGAATGCGAAATAGCCAATGAGGTGGCTAGGCCGGGCCGGCCCGGCCGCCACTGCCATATAGTATGCAGCAACCGGAGGAGTCACGTTGGGGGAACGGCAGAAAGCAGCTATCCGTTTACACTACTTTGCTCTAACAGCTATCTTAATGGTGACTGCGTGGCCGGGGGGAAACCTGATCGGCCAGATACAGCCGAAACCAGGAGGGAGGGAGTGGGCTTTCCGGAGGGGGAGAGGAGGGAGGGAGACGAAGGAGGAGGAGTAAGAGAGGAGGAAAGAAAGAGGAAAAGAGTGCGAGGGAGTGAGGGAGGGAGGAAAATAAACAACAAAAAATGTCCTCTTCCTCCCCCACCGGGCAGATCGCAAGTGCGGCGGACATCAAGCAAGAGAATGGGATGGAAAGCGCCTCGGAAGGGCAGGAGGCGCACCGAGAAGTGGCGGGGGGCGCGGCGGTAGGGCTGAGCCCCCCGGCTCCAGCCCCTTTTCCCCTGGAGCCGGGGGACGCCGCGACCGCTGCCGCCAGGGTGAGCGGAGAGGAAGGGGCAGTGGCGGCGGCGGCGGCCGGAGCGGCGGCGGATCAGGTACAACTCCACTCGGAACTTCTGGGCAGGCACCACCACGCCGCCGCCGCCGCCGCGCAGACCCCGCTGGCCTTCTCGCCCGACCACGTCGCCTGCGTGTGCGAGGCACTGCAGCAGGGGGGCAACCTGGACCGCCTGGCCCGGTTCCTGTGGTCCCTGCCCCAGAGCGACCTGCTACGTGGCAACGAGAGCCTGCTGAAGGCGCGGGCGCTCGTGGCCTTCCACCAGGGCATCTACCCCGAGCTCTACAGCATCCTCGAGAGCCACAGCTTCGAGTCGGCCAACCACCCGCTGCTGCAGCAGCTCTGGTACAAGGCGCGCTACACCGAGGCCGAGCGAGCCCGCGGCCGGCCGCTGGGAGCCGTAGACAAGTACCGGCTGCGCAGGAAATTCCCCCTGCCCCGCACCATCTGGGACGGCGAGGAGACGGTGTATTGTTTCAAGGAGAAGTCGCGCAACGCGCTCAAGGAGCTCTACAAGCAGAATCGCTACCCTTCGCCCGCCGAGAAGCGGCACCTGGCCAAGATCACCGGCCTCTCCCTCACCCAGGTCAGCAACTGGTTCAAGAACCGCCGGCAGCGCGACAGGAACCCCTCCGAGACCCAGTCCAAAAGGTGAGCGCCAACTTTCCTCCTCCTCCCCCTTCCTCTCCCCCACCCCCTTCCCGGCTTTCTTTTCCTCCAAGTGCTCGCAAACATGGCGCTTACCTTCCCCACCAGCCTGGTCCGGCTGCCCACCTCTCCCCGCCCCCTACCTCGCTCCCCGGCCGGCAGAGGTAGGGGGCGGCGGAGGCGGGGGGCGGGGGAACCTCCCTCCTTACCCTCCCCCTCTCCCCCCAGAAGTTTCTGGTCGCCCGCCTAGGTCTCAGTCCCCGCCCCCACCTCGGCTGGTCACTGCTGCCCAGCTTCCCACCCCCATCCCGCTGGCTTTGAAGTTGCCACCCTCTCCCCGTTTCTGGAGGGGCTAACGAAGCAAATGTGGACACCGGCACCGTAGCTCTCCCTGCCGCCCGAGGCCCGCAGAGACTGCCGGCGCCGGCCGGGGTCTGCACCTCCGCGAGGTCACACCGGGCCTGGCGCGCGCGCACGCTCCCGGATCCCCAGGGTTCAGCCGCCCCCCGGGCCTGCGCTGGAGGTCGCGGTGGCTGCTCTGGTGAAGGGAAGAGAGTGTTGTGGGACTGGCGGCGCAGAAGGGGTCTCGGAACGTCGAGGTTTCATATGACAGAGTTAATCATTCACCCTGCCCCTATGGTTCCCTTAGCGGCCGCGGCAACGTGGGGTGCTGGTGCAGCTCGGCTCTGTCATGTTTTGAAACCTGATTCTGAACTCCTTAGGATCGGGTTTCAGCGCAGCCGGGGTAGCAGGGCTGAAGGGCTGCTTCCTCCCTCGGCCCCCGAACGCTGCTTGGCTCCCTCCTGGTACGGTAGTTATGGGTGGGGGGCAGGCCGGCTTACGGCGGGCGGCAGCAAAGGAGTGGGGGCGCTCCCACCCCACTGGGTTTGAGCTTTTTGCCTGGCAGACTGCTTTCCCCCTCTGGTAAAAAAAATACCGGATTTTCCACCTCTTTTGTGCGTCCTCCCGAGTCAGACACTTGGTGTGTGCGTCTGTGTGTTTTGTTGGACGAAACAAAGTAAGGAGAAGGTCGCCTAAAGACCTGGTGTCTCCAGCCCCGCGGGGATAGGAGAGAAAGAATCCAAAAGCAGCTCGAAGGTTCTTCTCGGGGAAGCAAACTGGGAGCCGGGGATCCAGCCCGCCTGCGCCAGGTGAAGGTGATCACCAGCGCATTCCAGAGCCGGTCTCAGCCCGCCCTTGCCGCTTCTGGGCCCCTGTGGGGGTCCGACGGCTCGGGCTCCGGCGTTCCTCGCCCAAGGCTGGGAGGGAGGCTTGGTGCCCTATCCGGCCCTCGCGGTAACCAAAACAAAAGGTGCACCGGGATGTGCGTGCGCCTTCCGCAGATATGCGGAGAGGTCCAGAGAAGGCGCTTTGGTTACGCCGAGCCACCTGCCCTGCGCCCACTAGAGGCCGCGGATCCCGCGCTCGGAAACCAACGGAATCCGCAGGGCCGGGGCAGAGGGTGGCAAGGGGGCACCGCGAGCAGGCCAGCTGCTCCGCCGCCTCCGCTCGCGAGCCGGGCACGCTCCCTGGGACTCCCCCACGCTCCACTGCTGGCTTCTTCGTCCCCCCCGCCCCACCCCATAAACTCCACACCCACCCCGCCGCCGGCCCAGTTGCCTGGTTTAGGCCCCTCTCCGGATCTACCTCCCACCCGCACCCCCGGTGAGTCACCCTCGCAGACGGCGACGGCGGCTCAGCCTCAGCTTGTAAATCAAAGCGCTTTCTGCGCTCCTGGCCCCGCAGCCCAAAGCCCGGGTAATCCCCTCCCCTCGGCATGAAAGCGAACCGACCGCGGGGCACTGCGGGGATGTCGGATCCTCTGCTGGGCCAAGTCCTGCTGCGCTTCCAAAACGCCTCTGTTCTGCTCTCGTTTGCTCTCCCTCCCAGCCTCAGACCAAATGGGAAACCCCATCACTACCCACCCCCCAACCCCGATTTGGTATTTCTCCCAAGTCAGAGAGCTGAGGAACAGGGTCCTGCCTGGAACAGAGGGACCAAGGACGTTGGGGAAGAGGTCTAATAGTTAGAAGGCCTCTGAGTGACACCCTTTCCCTCCCACCTCACCAGGGCACTGGATGGTGTTTGTTAAATAGGCCCCTTTGGCTTCCTTTGGATTCAAAGGCGACTGCACATAACTGTTCTTGGGTTGAAAGTGCCTTTTCCTACAACAAGGACAGCCACTTTGTTGAATGAGAGAGTTGTCAGTCTGGTGGAGTAGAAGTTTGGGAGCAGGTGAGAAAACGATCTCTTGTTAACTAACTGACCAAAAAAGAAAAGCTGAGCACTTCCTACCTCCTGCTCCTTTGGCAGCTTCATTTACCTCCAAGATAACACTAATCTGAATTGGTTTGAGGGGAGGGGAAGGAGTTCCTAAACAGGAAAGACCGACCACCTCATTTAAGGTGTTTTTTTCTATGGTGTCAGTAGCAGCATATGTAACAGTAAGGAATAGCACTTCTACACTGTAAAATCAAATATGTTCTTCTCCTGTAATGCTGAATTTACATCTTGCAGATGTCTGGACTTTCCCTGAATTTATTGTTATTTTAAATGATTGGGATCTGAGAGTTTATCTTCCCAGATTCTCTGGCTGGTCGGAATCTGCTGAAAGGCCTCTTAGTTTAAATAGGACTAGCAGATATCCTGCTGTGCTTTCCTTAAATACTGCCTTTAATGGATTTAGAAGCTGGTTTTCCAAACAAGTGGCACTGTGTAGAATGTCATCCCCCTGACCTTCTGAACATTTTGATTTCCCCCTCCATACAGTGAGTCAGATGGCAACCCCAGCACTGAAGATGAATCCAGCAAGGGACATGAGGATTTATCTCCTCACCCACTCTCCAGTTCATCTGATGGCATCACCAACCTCAGCCTTTCCAGTCATATGGAGCCAGTATATATGCAACAAATTGGAAATGCTAAGATATCATTAAGCTCTTCTGGAGTTCTGTTGAATGGAAGCTTGGTACCTGCAAGTACTTCACCTGTCTTCCTTAATGGAAATTCTTTTATTCAGGGACCCAGTGGAGTTATCCTTAATGGATTAAATGTGGGAAATACACAGGCAGTGGCATTGAACCCACCAAAAATGTCATCAAACATTGTGAGCAATGGTATATCCATGACTGACATACTGGGGTCTACTTCCCAGGACGTGAAGGAATTCAAAGTCCTCCAGAGTTCTGCTAACTCAGCAACCACCACGTCCTACAGCCCCAGTGTCCCTGTCTCATTCCCAGGCCTGATACCCAGCACTGAGGTGAAAAGAGAAGGCATTCAAACAGTGGCTTCCCAAGATGGAGGGTCTGTAGTGACTTTTACTACACCAGTGCAAATTAACCAGTATGGCATTGTCCAGATCCCCAATTCCGGAGCAAACAGCCAGTTCCTTAATGGGAGCATTGGATTCTCTCCACTGCAGCTGCCCCCTGTGTCAGTGGCAGCTTCACAAGGTAACAATCTCATTTGGTACCTTAATGCACCAGCAAATGTGTTCATCAGCTGCTGTAAGTGACGCATTTGGTGATAGCTATAGATTGATGTTTCTGTTCAGGTACCTTATTAGCTGCCGAAGCTGTAGAGTAGCCTTGATGTGATTCTCCTCTTTCACAATACCCATGTCATATCCAGGTTGCTTTATTCCCTTGCATCATGAGGATGGGCTTTTATTTTACTAACAACTGAATGGAAAAATACAGTTCATAGCAAGTCCTGCCAGTTCTACAATTACAGAAATATGATAAGTCAATCAGTGCTTACAAAATAACTCACTGCTTGGCATTTTAATATTAAAAATTAATAAAATTGCTAAGAACACAAAATTAGTCTAGCAGTTGGTAAGAATGCATACACTTTACCTAAGCATTATTTATTTGACCAAAAAATGTTTTAGAAGAACAAGCTAAAAAGACCGGATCAATTATGTTTGAATCCTGTTTCCTCCTATAATGAAGACTAACAGACCTAAAAGAAAATCAGAGGAATATGCCATTGGATTTCTATCGCTCAGCATATATACTAACCCCCTAAATGTGTGGGTTTATTTGTGAAGATAATAGTAAGCCTTATTTTATATGTTTGTGGCTTTACTAACAGCAATCTTCCAGAGAAAGCACTTAAATGAAATTCAGGAAAACTGAGGCTGATATATTAGTTCTTCACTGACTTTAAGCAAGCCTGGATCCTCTATGTCATTTTCTCTTTAAAGAAATAGAAATGGTTAGAATTTGGCAGTGGAGTTTGCATAATCCCTTGAATTCAGGAAGGGTAGATCTTAATGCACGTTTGCCTTCTTGTAGACAAATCTGAAAATCCAGATTTTTACAAAACCAAAGTAGTAATTGTTGGCTTTAAAGGTCTGCTTCCTATAAGATGGTTTTACCACCCCCCCAAAAAAATCAATTTATGCACAACTCTCTTGTTACCACAACTATGGTCTATGTCAGCTTATTGAAGGAATTAATGGAAAAATTGTTCTAAATTTCATTCTGTACATTTGCATTTCTTTAGGCAAAATGGTACTAAAACAAGACATTCCTGCAGCATACTATTCAGTTCATCATTGTTCCAAGTTATGGAAAGAGTTAAGTTACTATCTAACATAGGGCAAAAATATGAAAACCACAGGGAAAGCCAAAGTGCTTAGTTTGATAATAATTTAATGTGGATCTAACCCCTTTTCTCTCATTTGGAAAATTTCCAAACAGGTCACATTTTAAAGGCAACAAATTTGAGCAGAAAGAATGAGTTATGTATGTTGGGGGAGGAGAAAAGTAGAAATACTTTTAATTGTGTAATCTAGAGGAGCACTGCCATAGAAAATTATTATGAACTAATAGCTGAGTTTTTAAATGGGACATTTAATAGGAATAAGAATAGCATTTTCAGTTAAAATAAGTAAGATCAAATCTTAGACTGTCTGGGTGAGTTGAACAGACAGTCTAAGTTTAACCAGATAGTTAAGTTTAATCCAGTAAGCAACATTTCTATGGTAGTTAGGTATTGCAGTTCTCAATAAAACATTTTGGGGATTCAGTTTTTTCTCACAAACAGATACTGAGCCATTCTTTAAAATGTCTTGACAAGATAGACTTATCTTTCTATAGTTGGGATTTATGTGGAAAAGTAGAATATCTACATCTTTTACTCACTTTACAGTCTGAGCAACTAAGATTATTATTATTATTATTATTATTATTTTTAGGCGGAGACTCATTTTGTCACCCAGGCTGGAGTACAGTGGCGCGATCTCGGCTCACTGCAGCCTCTGCCTCCCGTGTTCAAGTGATTATCCTGCCTCAGCCTCCCTAGTAGCTGGGACTACAGGCGTGCATCACCATGACCGGCTAATCTTCGTGTGTTTAACAGAGAGAGGGTTTTGCTATGTTGGCCAGGCTGGTCTTGAACTCCTGTGATCTGCTCACCTCAGCCTCCCAAAGTGCTGGGATTACAGGCATGAGCCACAGCGCCTGGCCTGATTTTTTTCTTATCATTACAAAGTAATGCTTTGTATCTATATGGTTTTTCAGTTGGATTTTTTTATCTTAAAATTGTTGTTCAATTTTTACTTCAGTTGTAGTTATGCTCAAAAATCAAATTTTAGATCAAATTCTCTTTTATATATGTTATAATTTCTACAAATTCAGAAGTATTTATATTCAGTAGCAGTTGGGGAAAATGTTGCATGTATTATGCTATTTATGGCTCTATAAAAAGATAACTAATCATTTTGTTCATGCATACATTGGCAAACAATTTCATAAACATACACACAATAAACTAAACATCTATTTGAGATGTTTTTTTGCCACAAATCAGCTGCCTACAAGAATTTTAAAGACGCCGGGCACAGTGGCTTACGCCTGTTAATCCCAGCACTTTAGGAGGCTAAGGCGGGTGGATCACCTGAGGTCAGGAGTTCCAGACCAGCCTAACATATTGAAACCCCGTCTCTACTAAAAAAAACAAAAATTAGGCTGGCATGGTGGCACATGCCTGTAATCCCAGCTACTTAGGAGGCTGAGGCAGGAGAATCGCTTGAACCCAGGAGGTGGAGGTTGCAGTGAGCCGAGATCACGCCATTGCACTCCAGCCTGGGCAACAAGAGCAAAACCCCTTATCTCAAAAATAAATAAATAAATAAATAAAAATAAGAGTTTTAAAGCATACTTAAGTTGAAGGCAGTGTTTTCAAATAAAAGCAGTTTTTTCATATGTGTGGTCTGAAACAGAAATGTAAGAGAATAACTGAAACATACTTAGAAATGTTTTTCTTAACACTGGTATTTCTGTGATTAAACTTTCTAGTTAAATGTTTTAAAAGGGTTCATATGCAGTGTTTTCTTTTTACTTGAAGACATTCCTTTGCATTAAAAATATTTGGAAGACATAAACAGCCCTGTGGCACTTATTTATCAATAGAGGTGATAATATAATCACAATATTCTAATACTTCAGGAAGGAAAATGTTTTAGGTGAATTAATTACCTTTAACATTGGGCTGCTCTCTCAAAAAAGTAGTTTACTGAGGCCAGATGTGGTGTCACGCCTGTAATTCTAACACTTTGGGAGGCTGAGGCAGGAGGATCACTTGAGCCCAGGAATTCCAGACCAGCCTGGGCAACATAGTGAGACCTCATCTCTACAAAAATTTTTAAAAAATTGGCCAGGCGCGGTGGCTCATGCCTGTAATCCCAGCACTTTGGGAGGCCGAGGCGGGTGGATCACAAGGTCAAGAGTTTGAGACCAGCCTGACCAACATGGTGAAACCCTGTCTCTACTAAAAATACAAAAATTAGCCAGGCATGGTGGTGCGTGCCTGTAATCCCAGCTACTCAGGAGGCTGAGTCAGGAGAATTGCTTGAACCCAGGAAGCGGAGTTTGCAGTGAGCCAAGATTGCACCACCGCACTCCAGCCTGGGTGACAGAGCGAGACTCTGTCTCAAAAAAAAATTTTTTTTTTAAATTAGCTGGGCATAGTAGTACGTACCTGTAGTCCCAGCTACTTGGGAGGCTGAAGTGGGAGGGATTGCTTGGGCCCAGGAGATCGAGGCTGCAGTGAGCCACGTTCACATAATCCCAGCACTTTGGGAGACCGAGGCTGGCAGATCACTTGAGCTCAGGAGTTCGAGAACAGCCTGGCCAACATGGTGAAACCCCATCTCTACTAAAACTACAAAAATTAGACAGGCATGGTGACATGCATCTGTAATCCCAGCTACTCAGAGGTTGAGGCAGGAGAATCACCTGGGAGGTAGAGGTTGCAGTGAGCAGAAATCGTGCCACTGCACTCCAGCCTGGGCAACAGAGCAAGACTGTCTCAAAAAAAAAAAAAAGAGTTGACTGAACATCTAATTCAAGATGAGGATAAACAGCCCACCTATCACAAAAGTTCCCCCAAATCTACCTTTCCTTCAGTGACCATATTTGAGGTCCTAGATTATCTAATTGCCATCATCTCATGCCTATGTAAGGAATCAGGAACAAAAGAGTGTTATTTGATGGTAGTGGGGGGTCTAATTCGTGTACATTGTCTAAGTGATCTGATTTGAACATCTCAGCTTTCTACTTAACATTTTTTTTTCTACTTCTGGTCTCTATAGACCATTATAGTAAGAGTCTCAAAAGATACAAACCTTTTAGAGAAGCATTAGCTCTGATCCTTTATGTTAATCTGTATTTTAAAAAGCACATTTCTTATTACCATTAATTGTTCCTATTACTACAACACTGAAAATTCAGAACTGGCACAACAAAAGGCAAAAAAGCTTTTGAATGTTTTGTTGACTTATTACTTTATGGCTAGTTTGGTGAAAGTTTGCAACTTGTCTATACAGGTTTATATGGTTAAGTTTTAAGCCCCAGGGTAACTCATTTTATGTGGTAAGTTCTGCATTGCCATTTATTTATATTTTATGTCAGTTACTGAGCAGTCAGTCCTGAATGAAGGTGCATTTGTGTTTTCTAATTCTAACTGGCAGAGCTAGCAATAACTATCAACTAATTGAGAGATGTCAAGTTACTAGTGAAGAAACAGAAACTTGACTGAATCAGAACTTGGAAAAGATTTTTTTTTTTTCACACTTGGCTTCTAACTAGTAGTTCTCAATCCCCCTTGGTCATCAGAATTACTTGGGAAGGTGGGTACTCTAGAAGCCCAGTCCCCACCATTACTCAATATACCCGTGTAACAAACATGCGCACATGCCCCCTGAATCTAATTTTTTTTTTTTTTTTTTTTTAAAGAAAGGGCCCGGGTGCTGTGGCTCACGCCTGTAATCCCAGCAATTTGGGAGGCCGAGGTGGGTGGATCACAAGGTCAAGAGATTGAGACTATCCTGGCCAACATGGTGAAACCCCGTCTCTACTAAAAATACAAAAATTAGCTGGATGTGGTGGCGCATGCCTATAGTCACAGCTACTTGGGAGGCTGAGGCAGGAGAATCACTTGAACCCAGGAGGCAGAGGTTGCAATGAGCCGAGATCGCTCCACTGCACTCCAGCCTGGTGACAGAGTGAGACTCCATCTGAAAAAAAAAAAAAGAAATAATAAGCAACAGAACCTTTGACATGTTCTATCCTCAAGACCGTTCGAGGTCATGAGACATAAAAAGTAAAGGTTTGGAAGTCACTGTGTTTTCTAAGAAGCTGATGAAAGATGGGGAACACAGGCACACCTGCGACTCAGGAACGCAAGTAGTTTTTTTGGCTGTGTTGTTGTTGGGGTTAAACATAAAAGATGTCTCCATACAAAATATATCTATATATATATTTACTTGGAGAGGTAAAAACAGATGTTCTAAGATGTACTAAGTTACACTTTCAAGGAGTAGAGCCTGGGAATCTGTAGTTTTAGGTGCCCAAGGTAATTCTGAACCAGAATTGGGCTAAATGATTGTATGGAAGTGTTGCTTCTTTATAGATACTGTACCTGAGAAAAAAACGTGTGTGTAACTTTTTTTCTTTCCCTCTCACTTCCATCAGTGATAATCAGTACTTTATTTTTTTTAGGTAATATCTCAGTAAGCTCAAGCACTTCAGATGGAAGCACATTTACAAGTGAGTCTACCACAGTCCAGCAAGGAAAGGTTTTCTTGAGCTCTCTTGCTCCCAGTGCAGTGGTATACACGGTTCCTAATACAGGCCAGACTATAGGATCTGTGAAACAGGAAGGCTTGGAAAGGAGCCTGGTATTTTCTCAGTTGATGCCTGTCAATCAGAATGCACAAGTAAATGCAAACCTGTCTTCTGAAAACATCTCGGGGAGTGGCCTGCATCCACTGGCCTCCTCATTAGTTAATGTATCTCCAACTCACAATTTTTCTCTCAGTCCCTCTACACTACTAAATCCCACTGAGCTAAACCGCGACATTGCCGATAGCCAACCAATGTCTGCACCGGTGGCAAGCAAATCTACTGTGACATCTGTCAGCAACACTAACTATGCAACTCTTCAGAACTGCTCCCTTATTACTGGTCAAGACCTATTGTCAGTCCCTATGACTCAGGCTGCCCTTGGGGAAATAGTTCCTACAGCTGAAGATCAGGTAGGTCACCCCTCCCCAGCAGTACATCAGGATTTTGTCCAAGAACATCGTTTGGTTCTGCAATCGGTAGCTAACATGAAAGAGAATTTCTTATCAAATTCTGAGAGCAAAGCAACAAGTAGCTTAATGATGCTGGACTCTAAATCCAAGTATGTCTTAGATGGCATGGTTGATACTGTCTGTGAAGACCTGGAAACAGACAAAAAAGAGCTTGCCAAGCTCCAGACTGTCCAGCTGGATGAAGATATGCAAGACTTATGAACTTTATTTCCTCCTCACCTCTTTTTGGCATCAGCGGCAAATCTTTTCATGAAGCCCCAAGGACACAAAACATTTTCCCATTTAAAGGAAAACACTCTAGTTTTGCAAGTATATGCATACAAGAGACTTTAGATTGATCTGCATGAAGATCACAGTTAAGTATACAGGAGTAGAACTGCATTATTGCAGCCTTTTTGTTCACTTATAAATTTCTCTTTTAAATAGATGGAGACAAAGGACAAGGTGAAATGTATCAAGTCAAAGTGAATCATTTAGTTGACTCTATAATTCTAAGGTCAAAATGGAACTTGATAGTTTTTTAAATTAAAAAATGTATACACCTAACATAGAAAATTAAAGATAGCTGCAGACCATTAGAAATAATACAATTGTTTTTGTTTACTTTTACTCCATGGGCATTGAAAAGGTTAAGAAACATAAATGGTACATATTTTTAAAGTTAAGTAGCATGCATATATATATGCACACACACCTCTTTTTCAGCATTTTTTGAGAAAGTCTTGGGTCTCAAACACATTTGTCTCAACACATTTCCAAATGTGATTTCTAATAGCTCAGTGTGGCTGAGAAAGTGCGGAACTCCACTAAAAACTCTGAAACTTCAGTATAAATGTAAATATATCAGTTCTATAAGCAGGATTTGAGTAATTACAGTGAATTTTATTTTTAATGTATATGTTTCTCTTCAGGCGCTATGAACTGAAAAATATGTTTTCTTACTGTTTAATTTATTTTTATTGTTTGAACAGGAAGTGAACATAGTCGTTTCCAACAAAGTTTTACTTTTTGTAGGATTTTAAAAATAATGATTTTTACCAGGAATCTATTAAGGTCAATATTAATAACACTGAAACAGGAAATCTAACTCCCAATATTGGAATTTTGGTACTTTTTTTCACATCCTTGTTCTTTATTTAGCAACTCTGATTCATTTAAATATGTTTTTTATAGAATTCTATGTGCCTTTTTACCTCGTGGCCTTTTTATTGGTAGTAAGGTACAGAAGTGTCAACAGAAGCACTGATGGTTCTTTTCTACTATCTAACAGGGTTAATTTCACCACAAAATTGCTTTAAATCTGAAGAACTTAAGTTTCACTAAATAATATATATGACATTTATCACACAAATGGATAAACAACTAATTATTGTTGATACTTTTCATTACAAGGAAAATAAGTTATAAATACCATGTCAAATTGATTATACAGGCTATGAAAACCATTTTAAAGGAAAGAAAATATGTAAATTCTATTGAGCAAAATTCTGTCCTGTTGAAACTTAGTTCTAAAGGTTTTGAATCAGTTGTTACACTCTGACACATGACTGTTGTTTGCACTATATTATCATGTCTTCTTTAAAAGTAAATATTTTTGGTTTCTGTAAGAAGCTTGTTTAATAATGTTGTAAGCCGTGGCTATAGTTTTATCAAGACTCTGAACACAAGATGTAACAATGCAAATAAATTTATGTAGTGAGTAAAGTTGCTCTCTAGTCTCTGAAAAGCAAAAAAAGTGAGAAAATAATTTCTTCAGAGATAACTTCAAGTTGTTGAACATAAAGGTGTTAGATGTTAGCACATCTTGCTTTTTTTTTTTTTTTGAGATGGAGTCTCGCTCTGTTGCCCAGGCTGGAGTGCAGTGGCACGATCTTGGCTCACTGCAAGCTCTGCCTCCTGGGTTCACGCCATTCTCCTGCCTCAGCCTCCCGAGTAGCTGGGACTACAGGCACCTGCCACCATGCCCGGCTAAATTTTTGTATTTTTAGTAGAGACGGGGTTTCACCGTGTTAGCCAGGATGGTCTTGATCTCCTGACCTCGTGATCTGCCCGCCTCGGCCTCCCAAAGTGCTGGGATTATAGGCATGAGCCACTGTGCCTGGCCACATCTTGCTTTTTTTTTTATGATCAGAACAAAGGGCCCACTCTAGTTCTCTACATGTCAATCAATCAAGCATGTTGAATAAGGGACATAGAGGATTTAACTTTTGTTATCATAAATGGAACTTGCAGGCATATATCAAGAACCCTATGAAGAATTCCTCTCCCATCATTTTGATAAAGAACTACATCATTTTTGATAGAATTGGTGAATGTTCCTAAACTGCTGAAGCTACATGTTTTTTGTTTTGTTTTACAAAGTCAGGTGTTTGAGAGTTCTTTTCCACTCTACTACTACTCATAGAGCTTGTTTTTTCTTTGGGTGTGTGCTGATCCTGTTACTGAGATTAATTACATGGCTCTGCAGTGTAGTTTACATAAAAATGATGTTTTCCACTTGATTGCTGCAGATATCAAGAGTTTGTTATTTTCAAATACCCATCCAACAAGAGAGATGGGGAGGTTTTTAGTTATATATGCTATATATATATATATAACTGGAAATGTTTTATATGTTTTCCGAAAATACAATAAGCCTCTCTTTTATTCAGTGTTCTTCCTCTTTTCTCCCTTATGAAAAAGAAAAGATAGCACAAAACTTAAGACTTACCTAGGAAACCCATTCATATTCCCACCATGATGTAATTATAACCCTACAATTACTTCAGGTAGCTACACAATATACCAGGTAAGAATCAATGCACAGTATAAAGAACTTATTGTTCTTTTCTATTCTTTCAGTTGAATAAGGGCCAGTTGGTATGCAGCCCATGTATATGTGAATGGAGTAAGATAAACCCCATGATCTCCTTGCACAGAATTGCAAATGTCTTTTGCCATACCAAGGGCCAGACTCAGAACCCTTGGAGTCATGTGGCAGAATTTCCCTCTTACATAAACCAATGCTTGAAAATGCTGCAAATGACCCTCTAATGATCCCTGAAGATCAAAACAGGGGTAAATGACTCCCTGCAAAACCCAACCCATGCTGCTGGCTGTGGGATTTTTGGTGTAAGCCTATCTATGCACTCTATCAGCCAGAATTTGGCATTTAGCTCTTAGTTAAATCTAGTAAAGGACAGTCTATTGTTTAAAGAGAAGGTGCATTTGTTCCTCAATCAAGCAAGAGCACCTGTGTTGTACTGCTTTATATCTCATGTATATTTATAGTAATGAAAAGACTTTTTAAATTGTACACGTTTCAGTGCCTTTCTTGTGTTATGAAAGGCAGGTAGATATTATAGCCATAGGTAAAAATCCATAGTTAAATTGCACACTGACCTTAAATCTCTCTGTGTATGCCCTTGTATCTTGCATGTTAAAAGTTGGATTATTGGGCATGTGTGGCAGCCTGCCCTGCTACATGCTAGACAAGTGTGCTTTAGTACATAGCCACAAGTTCTTCATTCTTTAAAATGTTTTGACAGATCATCTCATAATAAAAATAATTCAGGAAAACTATGGGGAAATAGTTACATTTCACAAAAGATATTTTAAACTCTTTGTAAAACTTAGATAATAGAGCCTAGCAGTTACTTTGTATCTAATTGATACATTTTATGTTAATTTACCACCATACATTTTATTAATCAAAATTGTATAGCATGTGACTCTTTTGGCTTTCAGAGTTCTCAAAAATATTATTTTGTTGCATGTACTGTATGTTTAGAGGCAACCAATTATATACTCAATATGGTTTTACTGTGCCTTACACAAAGAGAAACTCTATACAGAATGTATATCATGGGGTGGGGTAACAGAGTCTTTACTGCACTGTTAGGTGATGGCACACAGAGCATGTCCCAGAACATTTCTGTGCTTAATTACCCAACCAAAGAGATCTGAAGTATGTATGTCGTACTGTAATGGGGGTTTATGCCTGGACAATTAAGTGTTTTATTTGTTTTCTGAAATGATGTGAACTTATTTTTCTAAACACTATGCTAAATAAACTTTATATTTATACATACCTTGCATTGAAAATTATTTGGGAAATATTGTGTTTTTTTAAATATGAATGACTCATCTTACTAGAAAAGAAAAAAGAAATAATGTTGGTTTTATTTATCTCTGGAAAAGGGAAGAAGAGGAAGGGAAAAAACAAACATTCCAAAAGCTGGCAAATGGTTATAAGGCCAATTGGAGTGATTTTGGAAAAATAATCTTTGTCAGTCGTTGTGCAGAATTATGCAATTAACTGTACTACATAGAGGTAAATTATTAGATTGCATCCTCCTTAAAAGGAAGAAGTGTACCTTCCCCTTCCCAGCATTTTTTGTTTTTTGTTTTTTGTTTTTTTGTCCCTAGAGATGAGTGTGATGTTTGGCACACGGCAGTTACTCTGTAGGGTTTAATGGAATTAAATTGAAGGGTCCAAAGACCTCCTATTTTCAACCTTATTGAAAGAGTTCAATATCACCCATCCCTAGGGCACTGCCATTAGCCAAAGTCTGGTACCACCACGGTTGGGTGCACCAATAGTTTCACTGAAAGTAACAAGTAGAACTGCGTTGCTGCTAACTATATAGAAAATTTGGCCTTCGTACAGTTTGGTCCTAATTTTAAAATTACATAACCTGGTTTTCTATGCTTCTACACTGAAAAGAAGGGGAGGTTAATAAAATAGATTGGAAACCAACTGTACAATTCTGTAAAACTAGTTAAAGCCATCAAATTAAATTCAGATATTATATCTAGACTTTTATATTCTTGATATTCCACTCATTTATTTAACAATTTTATATGTAAGTAAACCAGTTAACATGAACAGAGTTTCAATGAGTTCAACCACTCCAGCCAATGAAGTGGTTACATTTTAGAACATTAAACAAATATTTTTAAAAATTGGACAAGATCATTGCTGTACGTAAAACATTTGTGGCTCCTCAGAAACTAGCAAATTAAATAAAAACCCTCAATGGGAATTCAAGGCCTTCAGCTATATGGTTCCACCCCACTTGTTCACTTGCCCTTAAGAAACAATAAATGGGCCAAGCACAGTGACTTAGGCCTGTAATCTCAGCACTTTGGGAGGAAGAGGCAGAAGGAGGCGGAAGGATCACTTGAGCCCAGGAAGCTCCAGTGAGCTAGGGTGGTGCAACTGTACTGCAACCTGGGTGACAGCAAATTCCTGTATCAAAAAAAAAAAAAGCAATAAATGAAAATTTACCTTTGCATATCACCATTTCCAATACAGTAGATAGTAAATAAATAAACAAGACACATTCAGATAACGGTCAGTGTTATAAAGTTGACAACAAGGAGTAATGAAATTGATAATATGAAATGTTAGGGTGGGAGACATACATTAGATTGATCAAGGAAGTTCTCTAAGGAAGTAACATTTCAGCAGAGGTAATTGAATAAGGAGGAAGCCAGCCAGCAAGACCTAGAAAAGAGCATTCCAGACATAGGGAACAGCAGGTACAAAGGCCCTGAGGGAGGGACAGAGTGTCTGGATTACGGCGCTAACTCCAGGGGTCATGCGATAAATCTAGCCAGAGAGGTAGGCAAGGGCAGATCAAAGGTAGAGCTTTATTGGTCTCAAATAGTTTGAATTTGAGTCTGAGAAGCCACTCATGGCTTGTAAGCAAGGAGTAATATAACATGATTTACACTTTAAAATGTTGCCATGGCTAATCTGGGAAATGGAGTTGCAGGAGGCAGGAGAGCCGGAACTAGGAAACTATTACCATGTTGCCCTGAGCTGTCAGACAGGAGATACTTCAGGAGCTCTTGAACTGCACCTAGGGCAGTTTGCCCTCCAACTGTCTCCAGAATTTTGTGCTCTCCAAGACTTGTGTCTATTCTGCTGCCTGCTGTTAGCCAAAGCCACTTACTGCTACTGAAGATGATTGTCACAGCCTGAACCTGTCCCCTGGTAGATCCAGCTCCCTAATAGATATTTTCAAAATGTCCCAGTCCACCTAAGATTCTACATGTGGAAAATTAAACTCTCATCTCCCTAAGCCTGCCCCAACTCTGTGTTGTTCATTTCAGCAACATGTATTCACCCAGATGGCCAGACAAAAATCTGGGATTCACTCTGGAGTCTTGTCTCCCTTTCTTCTCCCTACCTTTATCAGATCACAAGTCTATCCAAGTCTGCTCTTTTACAGTCTTTTGATTCAGTTTCTTCTTCTCCATTACTAAGGTTACTCCTACAGTTTAGGCACTTACCATTTCTCTACTGAATTATTGCAACTGCTTCCTACCTGGTATCCTAGTGTCTGGTCCTGATTTTGGCCACATTACAACTACATCCAAATGGAACTTCCAGAATTCAAGACTTAACCCAGCCTCGTTTTCCACTTTAAAACCTTCCATGGCTCTTCATTGCCTATGAAATACCGTTTAAACCCTTTACCATAAGAAGTCTCCAAGATCCAGGCCCTGCCTCTCTGCCTACTCACATCTCTAGCCACATAAAACTGTTCGCCAAAGGAACCAGATTCCTTCATAACGACCCAATCCCCAAGACTCACTCAATGTCACATCTTCAGGAAGCCTTGTCTTACTTTCACAAGTAGAATTGTGCATAGCCCATTCTGTGATTAGACAGGGATTTATACCTTCCTTTAGTGTGGCACTAATGTACTTATCACTGTAAGTATATGTTTGCCTCTTTACATATTCATCTTGGTTTCTCCAGCATTTAGTATTATGCATGGGACATAGGAGGCACTTAAAATTTATTTGTTGAATGAATAGTGATGGTAACAGGCATCCATAACTTTAAATCATTTCATTGCTATGGATTAGGGAACTATATTGCTAAACTGGTTAAAATATTATCCCTATGTAGAGCACAAAAATAAATCAATACATTTTGGGGTAGACCCTGAGAGTGGTTCCTCAAATCTTTTAACATTAGTGAATGGTCTTTATGGTAATTATTTCATTACTATTCCAAGGTTTTTCTGCTTAACATGCAAGTTTAAAACTGTGTTCCAGATGATAGAGGCTAAAGATTGACAGGCAAATGGGGCATTAACAAAAATGTACTCACTGAGCTTTTTTTTTTTTTTTTTGACCCTTTTTTAGATCAATGTTTCAAAATACCAGTGATGTGCAGAAAACCTATTTATACTTATGTATAGATAAACTTTCTAAAAATATTTTCTCTGTGGCTATATCCACATTATTTGCATTTGAACTAAGCAGATCTCTAAAGAGTCTATGAAGAATAGTAAATGAAATGTAGAGGTAGGCATCAAGAAACCTGGATTCTAATTAGCCTTGAGATTTAGGAAATATCAGTTCACCTCTCTGGGCCCTGTATTTTTTCTGCGAAATGGGTATGTTAGATATTATTATAAAAGAAAAAAATGGTTTAATAAAATTCATTTACCCCTACAGAGTTAAGTTCAAATCAATTACAGAGGGGAAGCACATGGTGACCTGCTAAGAGCTGCAAATGGAAGATAAAATAATTGGGATGGGGTCAACAACCTGTGACCCACCAGGATTATTTAGAGGTGTACAGCTAGGTGAGGCAGGTCTGGTTCTGTACTTGTCCACCTCCTTCATCTGTATCCACTTTGCCCCCTAAGGGATGTGTCATTTCCTCAGGCATTGGCCTACCTCCTCAAGTGCCTTAAGTGATCTCTCTGGTGTTGATGGTTAACAGTTTCAGATATGATTATCCCAACCCTCCACCCCAGAGCAATTTACTTTTTTTTTTTTTTTTTTTTGAGATGGAGTCTCACTCTTTCACCCAGGCTGGAGTGAAGTGGTGCAATCTCGGCTCACTGAAACCTCCGCCACCCAGGTTCAAGCAATTCTCCGGCCTCAGCCTACTGAATAGCTGGGATTACAGGCACCTGCCACCACGCCCTGCTAATTTTTGTATTTTTAGTAGAGATGGTGTTTTGCCATGTTGGCCAGGCTGGTCTCGAACTCCTGACCTCAGGGGATCCACCCGCCTTGGCCTCCCAAAGTGCTAGGATTATAGGATTATAGCATCCAGCTATAATTTACATTTTAAGGAAGGCTTTTAAAGACATACACAAAAGGAACCAAGCTGTAATAATGGCTGATAAACTGTAGATTAGTAAAATTGAGCATTTTTCCCTATTTGTAAGTGCAGCAGGGTGTGTGTGTGTGTGTGTGTGTGTGTGTGTACATTTGGGGGATTGGGAGAGAAGGATGGATAAGGGGAGAGGCAGAGAGATTGTCACCCTTTATCCATTTCCTCTTTTGTGTGCTCCACTTCCCTACTGGGTATCAAGGCCCAGGCAGTGAAATCTAAGCTGCTGGAGCCTCTGAAAGCAATTAACAGTGTAGTTTCCCCCACACCTATCTTATCCACAGCCTGGGAAAATTCCCTTTCAGAGAATTCCTGTGTTGAAAAGATAAGTCATTAGCTATAATGAAACCATAAAATCTAGCCACTAGCCATAGAAAGACAAGCGTTGTTTGGTTGCTGGTTTTTTGGTGTTTGTTGTTTAAGATGAGAACTACTTAGGAGATGTGCCAAAGGAAAACCAAAAATATATTTTGTTGAAAATTAGGGAACATAATGAATTTTGTATTCACTTTATTTAATAAGTACATTCTTGCTTATGTTCTTTATCAAATGGATGACCTTAGATAGCTTAGTAATGAGTGCATTACCCATTACTCAGCAAATTAATCTTATTAACACTACATAGGAAGGAGGATGGATTCAATCCTGTCCCTAAATGAATAATCATCAGGGGTCTTAATCTCAAAAGATGTTGGAGGGCCAGGCACGGTGGCTCATGCCTGTAATCCCAGCACTTTGGGAGGCCAAGGCGGGTGGATTGCTTGAGGTCAGGAATTCGAGACCAGCATGGCAAAACCTTGGCTCTACTAAAAATACAAAAATTAGCCAGGTGTGGTGGTGGACACCTGTAATCCCAGCTACTGGGGAGGCTGAGGCAGGAGAATCACTTGAACCCAGGAGGTGGAGGTTGCAGTGGGCTGAGATCTCACCACTTCACTCCAGCCTGGGTGACAGAGTGAGAGACGCCGTCTCAAAAAAAAAAAAGATGTTGGAGTGTTCTATCCCAATTATACTAAATAGATTTGCCTAAATCTCTTCAATAAACACACACTAGTTTTTTTTCTTCTTCTTCTTGGAGACGCAGTCTCACTCCGTCGCCCAGGCTGGAGTGCAGTGGCATGATCCCAGCTCACTGCAACTTTCACCTCCTGGGTTCAAGCGATTTGCCTGCTTCAGCCTCCCAAATAGCTGGGATTACAGGCACGTGCCACCACGCCCAGCTAATTTTGTGTATTTAGTAGAGATGGGGTTTCACCATGTTAGCCAGGTTGATCCTGAACTCCCTACCTCAGGTGATCTGCCCACCTCGGTCTCCCAAAGTGCTGGGATTATAGGCTTGAGCCACCGCGCCTGGCCAACACACACTAGATTTAAGAATATATGCAATCTCAGCTAATGAGAGTTTTTACTTCTATTCTTATTACAGTCATTCTCTGATATCTTAACAAACACATATCTGACTTTCTAAGACTGAGCACAGACTTTTTTTTTATATACGGTAGCAAACTAGCAGTGTTGTAATACTGAGTTTTCAGTATTATAGTGAAACTATGTTAATACAGAATTTGTGTTATTTCAAAGAGTGATGAATTAGGCTAAAATTTACCTTTAGCTATTTTATTTGAAATGGTACATATTAATAATATAAATTAAATGTATAGACAACATCATGTCCATATATAAATTATCTAAGGTGGGGATACTTTAACAAACATCTTAAATCCCTTGGAAACCCTCTCAAATACAGTAGCCATTGATTGCTAAATATAGAGTATTTCTCTCTGTTTATCATGCAGATCCATGAATATACATATACACATATATATGTGTGTGTGTATATATATATATATATTTATATATATTTTTTTGAGATGGAGTCTCACTCTGTCACCAGGCTGGAGCACAGTGGCATGATCTTGGCTCACTGCAACCTCTGACTGCCCGGTTCAAGTGATACTCCTGCCTCAGCCTCCCCAGTAGCTGAGATTACAGGCATGCACTACCATGCCTGGCTAATTTTTTGTATTTTTAATAGAGACGGGGGTGTTAGCATGTTGGCCAGGATGGTCTCTATCTCCTGAACTCGTGATCCGCCTGCTTCGGCCTCCCAAAGTGCTGGGATTACAGGCATGCGCCACCATGCCCAGCTAATTTTGTATTTTTAGTAGAGATGGGGTTTCTCCATGCTGGTCAAGCTGGTCTCAAACTCCCAACCTCAAGTGATCCACCTGCCTTGGCCTCCCAAAGTGCTGGGATTACAGGTGTGAGCCACTGTGCCCGGCCCATGGAAATATTTTCTAAGTTATTATATGCCCTATAAATGAAACTGCCTTTTCTTTCTTTTTTTTTTTTAAAGACAGAGTCTCACCCTGTTGCAGTGCAGTGGCATAATCACAGTTCACTGTAGCAATCCCCACAGGTGTGCGCCACCACATCTGGCTAATTTTTTTTTTAAGAGATAGGGTCTTACTATGTTGACCCACTGGTGTTGAACTCCTGGCCTCAAGCAATCCTTCTGCCTCAGCCTCCTAAAGTGTTGGGATTACAGGCAAGAACCACCGTGCCAAGATAAAACTACCTTTTAATTTATTTCTGTAATTCAAAATGATTAATTAATTCATACTGATAGACCTCTTTTCAGTCTTTCTTAGTTGGATTTCTCCATGAAAACTGTTAGATACATCTGTAAATCAAAGTAATTATTATGAGGAAAAGGAAATAGTTAAGCGCAATCTTTGATACACTATCCTAAATCTGATCACATTGCCTCAAATACCTGATGATCATATTACCTTACATGCATACTTCCCAGAGGTCTGGGTAAACATAAGCCACATATTTTCCCCAAACATTTTCACTGATGTACAGAATCTGGCAACATTCAGTGGATCTTTGAGCTCTTGGGTGCTAACCTGATGAAGCCCAAATCTTGTCAATGCCAATGCATTTGTACATAAACAAAAAACCGGGCCTCTGATTTGGATGCAAGCTTCTGTATGACAGGAGCAAAACTGTGCTAAAGAAACTCCTGGGCCAGTCGTGGTGGCTCACGCCTGTAATCTCAGAACTTTGGGAGGCCAAGGCCAGTGGATCACCTGAGGTCGGGAGTTCGAGACCAACCTGACCAACATAGAGAAACCGCGTCTCTACTAAAAATACAAAATTAGCCAGGCATGGTGGCGCATGCCTGTAATCCCAGCTACTCGGAAGGCTGAGGCAGGAGAATTGCTTGAACCTGGGAGGCAGAGGTTGCAGTGAGCCGAGATCACACCATTGCACTCCAGCCTGGGCAACAAGAGTGAAACTCCATCTCAAAAAAAAAAAAAAAATCAATGTAGGGACACATGAAAAACAAGGAAATATGTTACCTCCAAAGGAAAAATCATAATTCACCAGTAACAGACCTCAACCCTAAGAAAATGTACGAAAATGCCAGAAAAGAATTCAAAATAACAATCATAAGGAAACTCAGTGAGATACAAGGGAATACAGACAGATAATTCAATGATATCAAGAAAAACAATTCATTATTCTAGTGACAAATTTAAAATGAGATGGATATTTAAAACAAACAAACAGAAATCTTAAAGCTAATGAATTCAGTGAATGAAATAAAAATACAGCCAAGGGCTTCAACATCAGACTAGAACAAGCAGAAGAAAGAATTTCTGGACTTGAAGACAGCTCTTTTGAAATAAAAAAAAAGGAAAGGAAAGGAAGGAAAGAGGGAAAGAGTGAAGGAAGGAAAGAGGGAAGGAAGGAAGGGGAAGAAAGGAAGGAAAAGGGGAAGGAAGGAAAGAAGGAAGGAAGGAAGGAAGGAAAGGGGGAAGGAAGGAAAGAAGGAAGGGAGGAAAGAAGGAAGGAAGGAAAGAAGGAAGGAAGGAAGGAAAGGGGGAAGGAAGGAAGGAAGGAATGGAGGGAGGGAGGGAGGGAAGGAGGGAGGAAAATAATGAAGAAAGCCTGCTGGATTTATGGGACACCATTAAGCAAACAAATACTCATCTTATGGACATTCCAGAAGAAGAGAAGGGAAAGGTGAGGAAGATATATTTAATGAAATAATAGCAGAAAATCTCCCAAGTCTGGGGAGAGAGATGGATATTCAGGTTGAGGAAGTGCAAAGAATCCCAAATAGATTCAACCAACAGGTTCTCTCTGAGGCAAATTATAATCAAATTGTCACAAGTCAAAGACAACAAAAGAATTTTAAAAGCAGCAAGACAAAAGTATTAAGTCACATATAAGGGAAATCCCATTAGATTAACAATGAATTTCTCAGCAGAAATCTTTTTTCTTTTCTATTTCTTTTCTTTTCTTTCTTTTTTTTTTTTTGAGACAGAATCTCATTCTGTCACCCAGGCTGGGGTGCAAAGGCGCAATCTTGGCTCACTGCAACCTCCACCTCCTGGTCTGAGCGATTCTCCCACCTCAGCCTCCCAAGTAGCTGGGATCACAGGCTCCGCCACCACGCCTGGCTAATTTTTGTATTTTTAGTAGAGATGGGCTTCACTATGTTGGCCAGGCTGGTCTTGAACTCCTGACCTCAGGTGGTCTGCCCACCTCGGTCTCCCAAAGTGCTGGGATTACAGGTGTGAGCCACTGCGCCTGGCCAGAAATCTTACAGGCCAAAAGAGAATAGAGTGATATATTCGAACTACTCAAAGAAAAAACTGTCAACCAAGAATAGTATACTAAGCAAAGCTATCCTTCAGCAATAAAGGAGAAGTAAAATCTTTCACAGACAAGGAAAAACTGAGGGAATTCATCACCAGTAGACTGCCCTTACAAGAAATGCTCAAGGGAGACTTACATCTGGAAATGAAAAGAGGACAATCACCATCATGAAAACATGCAAAACTACAAAACTCACTTATAGAGCTGATACACAAAGGAGAAAAAAAAATGTATCACTATAGAAAACCACCGAACTGAAAACTTTTTCAGTAAATAATAAAAGATAAAGAAAGAAATAAAGAACATATCAAACAATCAGAAAACAATCAATCAAATGACAGGAATAAATCTTCACCTATCAATAGTAACTGTGAATGTAAATGGATTAAATTTCCCATTTAAAATATATAGACTGGCTAAATAGATGAAAAGACAAGACTCAACTATATGCTCCTTACCAGAAACTTAGCTCATCTGTAAAGATACACATAGACTGAAAATGAAGGAATGGGAAAAGGATATTCCATACAAACAGAAACCAAAAGTGAGCAGCGTAGCTATCTTTATGTCAGACAAAAGGGATTTCAAGTTGAAAACTGTAAAAAAAAAAAAAAAAAAGACAAAGAAGCACATTATATAATCATAATGGGAATCATGCAGTAAGAGAATATAACAATTGTAAATATATATGCATCTAACACTGAAGCACCCAAATATATAAAGTGAATATCATTAGATCTAAAGGTACAGATGGACCCCAATACAATAATAGTTGGGGACTTCAACACCCCCCTCTCAGCACTGGACAGATCATCTAGACAGATTATCAACAAAGAAACATTGAATTTAAGCTGCATCATAAGCCAAGTGCAACGGCTCTTACCTAGGATCAAGCTTGTAATCCCAGCACTTTGGGAGGCCAAGGTGGGAGGATCACCTAAGCCCAGGAGTTTGAGACCAGACTGAGCCACATGGTGAGACCCCGTCACCACATTAAAAAAAAAAAAAAAAAAAAAGAAAATTAGCCCAAGCATGGTGGCTCACGCCTGTAATCTCAGCACTTTGGGAGGCTGAGGCAGGCAGATCATGAGGTCAGGAGTTTGAGACCAGCCTAGCTAACATGGTGTCTCTACTAAAGATACAAAAAATTAGCTGGGTGTGGCGGCACGTGCCTGTAATCAGCTACTCAGGAGGCTGAGGCAGGAGAATCACTTGAACCTGGGAGGCAGAAGTTACAGTGAGCCAATAACGTGCCGTTGAACTCCAGCCTGGGCAACAGGGCAAGACTCTATCTCAAAAAAAAAAAAAAAAAGAAAGAAAAAGAAAAGAAAGAAAGAAAATTAGCTGGGCATGGTGGAGCACACCTGTAGAAGCAGCAGCTACTCAGGAGACTGAGGTAGGAGAATCACTTGAGCCCAGGAACTTGAGGCTGAAGTGAGCCATAATCATGTCCCTGTCCTCCAGCCTGGGTGACAGAGTGAGACCATGTCTCAAATAGAAAAATAAATTTAAAACAAAAAAAAAAAAACTGTACCATAGATCAGAGACCTAATAGGCATTTACAGAATATTTAACTCAACAGCTACACAATATGCATTCTTTTCATCAGCCATGGAACATTCTCACAGATTGACTTACATTAGGAAATAAAACAAGTCTCCAAAAAGAAACTTCTTTTTTTTTTTTGGAGACAGGGTCTTGCTCTTTCACCCAGGCTGGAGTGCAGTGGGCATGATCTCAGCTCCCTGCAATCTCCACCTCCTAGGCTCAAGTGATCCTCCTGCCTCAGCCTCCTGAGTAGCTTGGACTACCATGAGTAGCTACCTGAGTAGCTTGGACTGAGTAGCTTGCGCCACCATGCCTGGCTAGTTTTTGTATCTTTTGTAGAGACGGGGTTTCATGATGTTGCCCAGGCTGGTCTCAAACTCCTGAGCTCAAGCAGCCCTCCTGTCTTGGCCTCCCAAAGTGCTGGGATTACAGGTGAGTGAGCCACTGCACCTGGCCTTATAAAATGTTTAAACATCAAAAGCATATCAGGTATCTTATTTGATCACAATGGAATAAAATTAGACATCAGTAACAAGAGGAACATTAGAAACTATACAAATACATGGAAATTAAACAACATGCTCCTGAGCAACAAATGGGTGAAGGAAGAAATTAAGAATAAAATTTAGGCCAGGGGCGGTGGCTCACACCTGTAATCCCTGTACTTTCAGAGGCTGAGGTGGGAGGATCATTTGAGGCCAGGAGTTTGAAACCAGCCTGAACAACTAGACAGCATAGTGAGATGCTGTCTCTAACTTTTTTTAAAGGAAGTCTTAGCCAGAGCAATCAGACAAGAAAAAGAAACAGAGAGCAATCAAATTGAAAAAGAAGAAGTCAAACTATCTCTGTTTGCCAATGATACAATCTTATACCTAGAAAACTCTTCTAAAAGACTACTGCATCTGATAAATGAATTCGGTAGTCTCAGGTCACAAAATCAATGTACACAAATCAGCAGCACTGCTATACATCAACAATGACTGAACTGAGAATCAAATCAAGAACTCAATTACTTTTATAGTACCTACAAACCAAATAAAATACCTAGGAATATACTTAACCAAGGAGGTGAAAGATCTCTATGGGGAGAACTATAAAACACTGTGGAAAGGAATCATAGATGACACAAACAAATGGAAATACATTTCATGTTCATGGATTGGAAGAATCAATACTGTGAAAATGACCATACTGCCCAAAGCAATCTACAGTTTCAAATAAATTCTATGAAAATACCAACATCATTTTTCACAGAATTAGTAAAAACAATCCTAAAATTCCTATGGAACCAAAAAGAGCCTGAATAGCCAAAACAATCTTAAGCATAATGAACAAATCTGGAAGCATTGTCATTACCCAACTTCAAATTATACTATGAGGCTATAGTACCCAAAATAGTATGGTACTGGTATAAAAGTAGATACATAAAGTACAAGAATGAAACTGGATCCCTCTCTCTCACCATATACACAAATTAACTCAAGATGGATTAAAGACTTAAATCTAAGACCTGAAACCATAAAAATTCTAGAAGAAAACCTAGGAAAAACTCTTCTAGACATTGGCTTAGGTAGAGAATTTATGACTAAGACCCCAAAAGCAAATGCAACAAATAAATAAATAAATGGGACCTAATTAAACTAAAAAGTTTCTGCACAGCAAAAGAAATAATCATCGTAGTAAACAGACAACCTACAGAATGGATACAAATTTTTGCAAATTATGCATTCAACAAAAGACTAATATCCAGAATCTATAAGGAACTCAAACAAATCAGGAAGAAAACAACAAATGATTCCATTAAAAAGTCAGCAAAGGATATGAATAGACATTTCTGAAAAGAAGATATACAAATGGCCAAAAAAAAAAAATGAAAAAATGCTCAACATCACTAAATGTCAGGGAAATGCAAATAAAAACTACAATGAGATCAGACCTTACTCCATCCAGAATGGCCATTATTAGAAAGTCAAGAAACAATAGATATTCATGTAGATGTGAAAAAGAAACACTGATGGGAATGTAAATTAGTACAACCTCTATGGAAAACCGTATGGAGATTTCTCAAAGAACTGAAAGTGGATCTGCCATTTGACCCAGCAAATCCACTACTGGGTATCTATCCAAAGGAAAAGAAGTCAGTATATCAAAAAGACACATGCATGTGTATGTTTATTGCAGTGCAGTTCACAATTGCAAAGATATAGCATCAACCTAAGTGCCCATAAACCCATGAGTGGATAAAGAAAATGTGGTATGCATACACATATGTATATACCATGGAATACACACTCCATGGAATACTACTGAGCCACAAAAAAGAACTAAATACTGTCTTTTGCAGTCACTTGGATGGGACTGGAGGCCATTATTCTAAGTAAGTAACTCAGGAATCGAAAACGAAATATCACATGTTCTCATTCATAAGTAGGGGCTAAGCTACAAGCATGCAAGGTGTACAGAATGGTTTAATGGACACTGGAGAACCAGAACAGGGGACAGTGAAAGGGGGATGAGGGATGAAAAACTATCTATTGGGTATAAGGTACACTGCTTGAATAACTTCTTAGTGACTTCTTTTCCTGCAGTCCAAGAATTTATCCATTTCCTCTAGGTTTTTTAATTTATTGGCATGAACACATACAACCTACCAGAATTAAACCAAGAAGAAATAAAAAGCCTGAACAGACCAATAACAAATAATGAGATTGAGTCAATAATAAAAAGTCTTTCCACAAAGAAAAGTCCAGGACCAAATGGCTTCACCATTGAATTCTAGGAAACTTTTTTTTTTTTTTTTGAGATGGAGTTTCCCACTTGTTGCCCAGGCCGGAGTGCAATGGTGTGATCTCGGCTCTCCGCAACCCCTGCCTCCTGGGTTCATGTGATTCTCCTGCCTCAGCCTCCCGAGTAGCTGGGATTACAAGCATGTGCCACCATGCCCAGCTAATTTTGTATTTTTAGTAGAGATGGGGTTTCTCCATGTTGGTCAGGCTGGTCTCGAACTCCTGACCTCAGGTGATCGGCCCACCTCGGCCTCCCAAAGTGCTGGGATTACAGGTGTGAGCCACCATGCCCAGCCGAATTCTAGCAAACCTTTAGATAATTAATATCAATTCTTCTCAAACTATTCCAAAAAGTTGAAGCAGAGGGAATTCTTCCTAAGTCATTCTACTTGGCCAGCACAACCCTGATACCAGACAAGGATACCACAAAGAAAGAACACTGCAGGCCAATACCCCTGGTAAACACAGATGCAAAAATCCTTAACAAAATACTAGCAAACCAAATCATACAATATATAAAAAAGATAATACATCATGAGCTAGTGGCATCTCTCCCAGGAATATATGGATGGTTCAACATAATACAAATCAATAAATGTCACACATCACATCAGTAGAATGAAGGACAAAAACCATATGATGATGTCAATAGACGCAGAAAAAACTTTTGATAAAATTCAACATTGCTTCATGATAAAAACTCATAATGATTTAGGTAAAGAAGGAAAGTTCCTCAAAATAATAAAGACCACACATGACAAACCTACAGCTATCTCACTGAATGTGGAAAAGCGGAAAGCTTTTCTTCTAAGGACTGGAACAAGACGAGTATGACAAGTATGCCCACTCTCACCACTCTTATTCAACATAATACTGGAATTCCTAGACATAGCAATTAGGCAAAATAAAGAAATAAAGGATATCCACAAATGAGGAAGTCAAATTGTTCCTGTTTTCAGATAACATGATCTCACATGCAGTAAAACCTAAAGATCTTACCAAAAAACTCTTAGACCCGACAAACAAATTTAGCAAAGTCGCAGGATACAAAATTAATATGCAAATATCAGTATTTGCATACACAAACAATGAACTAGCTGAAAAAGAAATAAAAAAGACAATGTCCTTTACAATAGCTACACACACACACACACACACACACACACACACACACACACACACCCCTAGGAATAAATTTAACCAAAAAGGTGAAAGACTTTTACAAGGAAAATTACAAAACACTGGTGAAAGAAATTGAAGAGGATACAAACAAATGGAAAGACATCCCATGATTTTGGATCGGAAGAATTACTCGTGTTAAAATGACAATGCTACCCAAAGCAATCTATAGATTCAACACAATCCTTATTAATACATCAATAACATTTTTCACATAAATGGGAAAAAATCTTAAAATTGCATGAAACCAGAAAAAAAAAAACAATTAGCTAAAGCAATCCTGTGTAAAAAGAACAAAGCTGGACGTATCATACACTCTGTCACCCAGGCTGGAACGCAGTGGCTTGACCTTGGCTCACTGCAACCTCTGCCTCCCAGGTTCAAGCAATTATCCTGCCTCAGCCTCCTGAGTAACTGGGACTACAGGCACGTGCCACCAAGCCCGGCTAATTTTTGTATTTTTAGTCGAGATGGGATTGCACCATGTTGGGCAGGATGGTCTTGATCTCTTGACCTCATGATCTGCCCACCTTGGCCTCCCAAAGTGCTGGGATTACAGGCGTGAGCCACTGCGCCTGGTCTGGTCTGAGAAAATATTTTATGAATAAGACCTCAAAAGCACAAGCAACAAAAGCAAAAATAAACAAATGGGATTATATCAAACTAAAAGCCTTCTGCCAGCAAAGGAAACAATCAACAGAATGAAAAGACAACCTACAGAAGGGGATAAAATATTTGCAAACTACTGCAACAGATTAGTTTCCAGAATACATAAGCAACTCAAACATCTCACAGCAAAAACCAAATGATCCAATTTAAAAATGGACAAACGATCTAAACAGACATATCCAAAGAAGACATACAAATGGCCAACAAATACATGGAAAAATGCACAACAACATTAGGGAAATGCAAATCAAAACCACAATGAGGTATCACCTCACCCCTTAAGGGTGGCTATTATCAAAAAGACAAAAAATAACAAATGTTGGTGAGAATGCAGAGAAAAGGGAACTCCTATTCACTGTCAGTGGGAGTGCAGACTAGTATAGCTACTATGTACAACAGTATGAAGTTCTCTCAAAAAACTACAAATATAACTGCCATATGATCCCACAATGCCACTATGGGAATTTATCCAAAAGGAAGGAAATAATTATATCAGGGACACTTCTACATCCCCATGTTTATTGTAGCATTATTCACAATAGCCAAGATATGGAATCAACCTAGGCGTCCAATGACAAGTGAATGGAGAAAGAAAATTTGGTATATATACACCGTGAAATACTATTCAATCATAAGAAAGGATGAAATTCTGTCATTCACAGCACATGGATGTTACAGAAAGATGTTATGTTACATGAAATAAGCCAGGATCAGAATGTTAGACACCATGTTATCACTCAAGTGTGGAAGCTTAAAAAAATGATCTCATGGAAGTAAAAAGTAGAACAGACAATACTAGAGGCTGGGAAGAGGACGGGAATGTACATAGTGATGTTTCGATATATGTAATGTATAGTGATCAAATCAAGGTAACTAGCACAGCCATCATCTCAAACATTTATCATTTTTTTGTGTTGGGAACATTTGATATCCTCCTACCTAGTTGAACTATATATTATCGTTAATGATAGTCATCCTATGGTGGCATAAAACACTAGAACTTATTCCTTTTTTTTTTTTTTGAGACAGAGTCTCGTTCTGTTGCCCAGGCTGGAGTGCAGTGGTGCAATCTCGGCTCACTGCAACCTCCGCCTACCGGGTTCAAGTGATTCTCTTGCCTCAGCCTCCCAAGTAGCTGGGACTACAGGCACATGCCACCACACCCGGCTAATTTTATATTTTTAGTAAAGACAGTGTTGAAATAAATTTTTGTTAAAGGATGCAAAATTATAGCTAGATGAAAGGAATAAGTTCCTGGCCAGGTGCGGTGGCTCATGCCTGTAATCCCAGCACTTTAGGAGGCAGAGACGGGTGGATTACAAGGTCAGGAGTTTGAGACCAGCCTGGCCAATATGGTGAAACTCTAACTTTACTAAAAATATAAAATTAGCCGGGTGTGGTGGCGCGTGCCTGTAGTCCCAGCTACTTGGGAGGCTGAGGCAAGAGAATCACTTGAACCCGGTAGGCAGAGGTTGCAGTGAGCTGAGATTGCACCACTGCACTCCAGCCTGGGCAACAGAACGAGACTCCGTCTCAAAAAAAAAAAAAAGGAATAAGTTCTAGTGTTTTATGCCACCATAGGATGACTATCATTAACGATAATATATAGTTCAACTAGGTAGGAGGATATCAAATGTTCCCAACACAAAAAAATGATAAATGTTTGAGATGATGGCTGTGCTAGTTACCTTGATTTGATCACTATACATTACATACATCGAAACATCACTATGTCCCCTATGAATATGTGCAATTATTATTTGTCAATTTAAAAATGAAATAAAATAAAAGACAGGCCAAAAAACGTGATATGACTCTGCATGTCTGAAATGTAATTGGGTAATTGGACACTAGCCCTTTTATTCTTTTTTTTTTTTTTTTTTTTTTTTTGAGACGGAGTTTCTCTTGTTGCCCAGGTTGGAGTGCAATGACGCGATCTCGGCTCACTACAACCTCCACCTCCCAGGTTCAAGAGATTCTCCTGCCTCAGCCTCCCAAGTAGCTGGGATTACAGGCACCCGCCACCACGCCCAGCTAATTTTTTGTATTTTTTAGTAGAGACAGGGTTTCACCATGTTGGTCAGGCTGAACTCCTGACCTCAGATGATCTGCCCATCTCAGCCTCCCAAAGTGCTGGGATTACAGGTGTGAGCCACCGCACCCGGCCACTAGCCCTTTTATTCTAGCATATCTCAGTATCTGTAATTATCTGATAAACTGGTGTTCAGCAGCACATATTTTGTGAAACACTGCGTTAACTCAGAGGGAGGACTCTCTAATGAGGACATTTCATACATTATATAGGCCAGTAGAACAGATATTCTGGGCTTCTGTAGTACCTTTCATATCATATCACATTATGTAAGCATATCAGTTAGTATACATGCCTATCTGCTGTTGTAGAGGCCCAAAATTACAGTGACTTCAATAAGATAGAGGTTTATTTATCTCAAGTGACTGCCCAAAGGTGAGTAGCCTAGGTTGACAAGATACCTCTGCTCTATCAGGCCATCCAGGATCCCAGGCAGGCAGTTGGTCTCTGTGCCCCTCAACATTGATTTTCACTCCCTGTCATTTCTAGAGTAGAAGCTATCTCTTTTTTTATTTATTTATTTTTGAGATGGAGTCTCACTGTCACCCAGGCTGCAGTGCAGTGGTATGTTCTCAGCTCTGTAGCCTCCACCTCCTGGGCTCAAGGGATCCTCCCACCTCAGCCTCCCAAGTAGCTGGGACTACAGACACTCACCACCACACACACTAATCTTTTGTATTTTTTGTAGAGATGGGGTTTCACCACATTACCCAGGCTTGTCACAAACTCCTGAGCTCAGGCAATCCACTCACCTTGGCCTCCCAAAGTGCTGTGATTATGGGCATGAGCCACCATGCCCAGCAGAAATTATTTCTTTAAGAAATAATCAAGATATTGCTTAAATCACTTCTTACATATCATTGGCTAGTCACATGTCCACACCTAGCTCCAAGGGAATTGTAGTCTCTAGGTGAGTAGCCATATCCCCTACTAAAAGGTGGGGAAATTATATTCCAAAAAGGAAAAAGGAACCATAGACACTGGCGTGGGGGGCGATGGTCAATGAGTAATCTGCCTTGGACCATAGACACTGGGGTCAAGGGCAATGGTCAATGAGTAACCTGCCACTGTATTTGGCCTACTTCCTTGAAGCTTATGGAGCTCTCTCGTCTGGATAACAGAATGCAAGTAGTCATATAAATGAAAGACGAAATGCCAATTTTTCATTGGAGATGTCTATAGATCTCTCTTTGAATCAGGATGATAAATATCATCTTTAAATTATCATCATCTTGTATCTCCTTAAAAAGTTTGAGGCAATGTACAATTCTCAGTTTAAAATGAAACTCAAAAGCTGTTTTTTTTTTGTTTGTTTGTTTTTTAAGAGATGGAACACACTATACTGCCCAGACTGGACTGCAGTGATCATTTACAGGCCTAATCATGGCACACCACAGCCTCGAACTCCTAGCTCAAGGGATGCCACCTTAGCTTCCTGAGTAGCTGGCACTACAGGTGTGCATCATTGTGCCTGGCTCCGAAACTGCTCATTTAAAAAAAATTTAGACTTATTCGTAATCAACGAATTATAAGCTCCATAAGGATAGTGTCTTACCATTGTTGTCAGAGCAATGTCTCACACTATAGGTACTTGGGAAATAAATATTCCATGAATGAATAAGAAGCAATATTTTAAAATTAGATACTATTATCTCCTACTAAATTAGTAAAGATTTAAAATAATGATGATGCTTAATGCTGATGTATGTGCAATAAGGCAGACGATTTTACATATTACAGATGGAAGTATAAATTGGCACAACTTTTCCCAAAGGTAGTTTTTAAAATTACAACTACAAAAACAAACAAGTTTTTGCTAATCATATGAGCAAAGATATAAAAATTTGTTAATACATTATCTTGATGAGGGTATCAGGAAGCATACTCTTTCACACATTACTGATGGGAGTCTGTTTGGAATAACCATTGTAGAGACATTTGAAATTGCCTATCAAAATAAAAATGCAGCCAGGTGCGGTGGCTCATGCCTATAATCCCAGCACTTTGGGAGGCTGAGGCGGGCAGATTACGCGGTCAGGAGATCAAGACCATCCTGGCTAACATGGTGAAACCCCATCTCTACTAAAAATACAAAAAGTTAGCTGGGCGTGGTGGCACGCGTCTGTACTCCCAGCTACTCGGGAGGCTGAGACAGGAGAATCGCTTGAACCCGGGAGGCAGACGTTGCAGTGAGCCGAGATCGTGCCACTGCACTCCAGCATGGGTGACAAAACGAGACTCCGTCTCAAAAAACAAACAAACAAACAAAATGCATATACTCTGACTCCGTCATTTCTTCTGTAGAGATTTGTTTTACAGACATATTTTACACATTTGCAATAATCCTATATATTAAGGGTGCATGTTGTAGACTTCTTTGTAATGGTAACTGTGGAAAAGGCCTAGATGTCCATCATTGGAAGGGGTAATTAAATGCCACACAGCTGTTAAAAATACATGTTGTTAAAACTATGAAAATCAAAATACACAACAGTATTCTTACAATACCATAATTTGGTGGGTTTCTTCAAAAGTTGCAGGGGAGACCAGGCGCGGTGGCTCATGCCTGTAATCCCAGCACTTTGGGAGGCTGAGGCGGGTGGATCACCTGAGGTCAGGAGTTCGAGACCAGCCTGGCCAACATGGCGAAACCCTGTCTCTACTAAAAATACAAAAATTAGCTGGGCGTGGTGGCTGCTGCCTGTAGTCCCAGCTACTTGGGAGGCTGAGGCAGGAGAATCGCTTGAACCTGGGAGACAGAGGTTGCAGTGAGCCGAGATTGTGCCATTGCACTCCAGCCTGGGTGACACAGCAAGACTCCAACTAAAAAAAAAAAAAAGTTCCAGGGGAATATGTACACACACACATACCTATAGTCTAGGGAGAAGAAATAAGACTGAAGGTCAGAGATGGAAAGATGACCTTCACTTTTATATCCTTTTAAATTGTTTAATTATTTTTATCATATATCGCTTTTATGACAAAAGTGTAAAACTTTCAAAGGCACTATTCATAATCTTTGCCTCAGTAATTTTCTTCCTAGCAATATATTTCCCACGATAATTTGAGAGACAAAAATTCATTCCCAATATGCATCAAAAACTTGAAAATAACCTAAAGTCCAATATTATGTAAACAATTGTAAAAATTATAATTTTTTTTTTTTGAGAGGGAGTCTTGCTCTGTCGCCCAGGCTGGAGTGCAGTGGCACGATCTTGGCTCACTACTTTCGCCTCCCGGGTTCAAGCGATTCTCCTGCCTTAGCTTCCTGAGTAGCTGGGATTACAGATGTGCACCACCACACCCAGCTAATTTTTGTATTTTTATTAGAGACAGGGTTTTACCGTGTTGGTCAGGCTGGTCTCGAACTCCTGACCTCGTGATCCGCCCACCTCGGACTCCCAAAGTCCTGGGATTACAGGCGTGACCCACTGCGCCTGGCCAAAAAATTATAATTATTTTATAACATTTTCAGTGATACTAGAAAATGATACAACGTGACAGAGAAATAAAAGGACCCCAAAAGGGTATATATTATACCTTCAATTTGATGAGAAAATAAATGGAAAAAAAAAAGCTTAGTTAAAAGTCCACAAGTACACATACCAGAATGTTACTGTTACTGGTGGAGGGTCTTGACTGCATGTTGTCCAGGTTCTTGGCGTTTTGAACAAAGAATTGGACAAAATGTACAGCAGAGCAAGGAAAGAATGATGCAGCGAAAGAACAAATGCAGAGATTTATTGCAAATGAAAGTACGCTCCACAGCGTGGGAGCGGCCAGAGCAGCGGCCCAAGGGCTCCAGATACAGAATCTTCTCCGGTCCAAACAACGGCTAGAGGTTTCCCAGTGGTTGCTCGCTTATTGGTTGTGGAAAGCAACCAATCAGCAGCTGAAATGAAGTTGCAAAGGTCAGACTCCCATGCAAACATCTGACTGATTGTGGAAAGCAACCAATCAGAGGCTAAAGTGATGTTACAAATTTTTCACTTCTATGCAAATGAAAACTTGGCTCGCAATCGGTCTGATTGGCTGCAGACAGCAACTAATCAGAGGCTGAAGTGAAATTATAAAGTTACACTCCTAGGCAAATGCCTCATTGGTTGCTTCTTGCAGAGGTATTTTCAATTTCCCATCTGCGTTGCAGAAAAGATGGGGGTTTACAAAGGGAGTAGCCTGTGGTCCTTTTGTTACTTAGGTGTGGAAAGTTAGGGATTTCCTTTCAGTTTAGTTCTAGGAAGTCAGTGTGAAATGGCCTTAGGTTCCCTTCCTCCAGACCCTATTTTCCTGCCTCATTATCAGCTGTTGCCACTAGAGAATACCACTATGGATGAGTATTCTGTTTCTTAATACTTTTCTGTTTGATGATATCAGTTAGGGCTCTTCTGGGTGTAAGCGTCTGAAACCTAAATCAAACTAGCTTAGTAAGAAGGATATTTATTGGTTCACAGAGTCAGTCAGGGCACTAATATTTATTGGCTCATGAAACCATTTGCTAAAACTGACTGCAACCAGGGTCTCTCCAGTTCTTTAGAATCCAGTTTCTGCTCCTCTCTGTACCTTGGGGTCAATGTCTCCTAGGGTAGCTCTGCCTTCTCCACAAGCCTTAGAACCCTGTTGCCAGTAGCTCCTGGATTCACATTTTCTAGTTTTGCCAAGGAAAATAAAAGACTGTCTCTCCATTGTTTGAGTGGGGTTGGGGAGGTGCATCTAGAACAATCACAATGAAAAGTTCTCACTGGCCCATGTTAGATCTCGTGTCCAACCATTACCCAATCACAGTGGCTCAGGTGGTGGTAATGAGAGAGTATTAGGGGCCAACTTGGATCATGTGTCTACTCTTAGAACAATCACTGTGGCCAGGAAGACAGATTTGTGAAAGGAGACAGCAATATTCACTGACCAGATGGCTAGTGCAAGGGAATGAAGAGTGCCATGTATCTAGAAAAGAGGAGAGCTATTAGGCCCTCAGAATAACGATGTGTATTGCACTTTTCAATGAATATGTTTTATGCAGATAATCAGGAAGAAAATTTTAAAGTAAAAAAAAGAACACCACTTCCTTCTTTCTCCTTCTTGCCCTGGGGCTCAGTAGTGTCCCTGAAACACTTTCTTACAGACTTTCTAGTCAGTTGGGAAGACAATGATATTCACCTTTTGATTAGAACTTGGAATCAAACTTGCTCACCCCTAAATGGCCTGGTAAAATCGTTTTCTGACACCCAGAACCTGATTAGTTGTGGTTTTTTTCCCAAGTCATCTTCCAGTCAACAGAAACATTGTTTGCATCTGAGTTCTACCCTATGGTTTGAATTTTGGGGTGAGGCTTAATTCCAAAGGCCCTGGTTTCTACATTTTTCTGCCTCTCCTGAACTAGCCAAGTCTGTGTTTATTGACCTTCACAGCACAATGCAAAATACCCTTGTTTGCTTTGGCCTGTCCTGATGGGCAAGGAGTCATGTCTGAGTTTGCCTTTCACTGTTTGATTTGCTAATTCTATTGTGTATTTTAGTAACTTTCTGTATACATCACTAGACACCTTTGTTAATGACTCATTATTTCAATGTTTTGTGGAAAAAGATTATACAATGTGCTCTACTTTCTTAAGACAATTTGTTACTTTCTGTAAAATTATGAGACTAAGGACCAACTCATAATGGAATATTTATTTCTAAGTACAACAATAAATATTTCTAATATTTATTTCTAAGTACATATTTATTTCTAAGTACAACAGAAGTAATCACTATTATACTAGATATAGGATAAAATTACATAGAATTATGAAAAGCTGAAGATGAGATTCATCCATTCTTTTTATTTTTCAATTGCGGTAAAATACATACAGCATCAAATTTACTATTGTACTTTTTTTGTGTGTGTGTGACAGAGTCTTGCTGTGTTGTCCAGGCTGGAGTGTAGTGGTGACATCTCAGCTCTCTGAAACCTCCGCCTCCCGGGTTCAAGCAATTCTCCTGTCTTAGCCTCTCGAGTAGCTGAGATTACAGGCGTGCAACACCACACCCGGCTAATTTTTTTATTTTTAGAAGAGACAGGGTTTCACTATGTTGGCCAGGCTGGTCTCGAACTCCTGACCTCAGGTGATCCACCTGCCTTGGCCTCCCAAAGTGCTGGGATTACAGGCGTGAGCCACTGTCCCCAACCTGTAACCATTTTTAATTGTAGTTTAGTAGTGTTAAGTACATTCACTTTGTTGTGCAACCAATCTCCAGAACTCTTTTCATCTTGCAAAGATGAAACTCTTTACCCATTAAAGAACTTCCCATTTTCCCCTCCCTCCAGCCTCTGACAAGCACCCTTTTACTTTCTGACTCTGTATTTGACTACTCTAGGTACCTCATATAAGTGCAATCATACAATATTTGTCCTTTTGTGGTTGGCCTATTTCACTTGGCATAATGTCTTTCAGTTTCATCCATGTTGTAGCAAGTGTCAGAATTTTGTTCCTTCTTTTTTTTTTAATTTTTTTTTTATTGTTGGACTCCATTCTTTTTTTTTTTTTTTTTTTTTTTTTGAGATGGAGTTTCGTTCTGTCGGCCAGGCTGGGGTCCAGTGGTACGATCTTGGCTCACTGCAACCTCCGCCTCCCAGGTTCAAGTGATTCTCCTGCCTTAGCCTCCTGAATAGCTGGGATTACAAGCGTGTACCACCACGCCCAGCTAATTTTGTGTTTTTAGTGGAGATGGGGTTTCACCATCTTGGCCAAGCTGGTCTTGAACTCCTGACCTCAAGTGATCTACCTGCCTGGACCTCCCAAAGTGCTGGGATTACAGAAGTAAGCCACCGCACCTGGCCTCATTCCTTCTTAAGGCTGAATATATTCTGTTGCATGTACCACGTTTTGTTTATCCATTCATCTGTTGATGGACACTTGTATTGCTCCCACATTTTGGCTATTGTGAATAATTGCTGAAAAATGAGGAACTGGGAGCCAGCCATTTGAAATAAACATGGGCGTACAAACATCTTTTTGAGACAAAGGGTCTCAAAAGGGTCCAAAATAATTGAATAATTATTTTGGGCATATATTCAGAAGTGGAATTATGGAATCATATGGTAATCCTAGTTTTAATTGTGTGTGTGTGTGTGTGTGTGTGTGTGTATGTGTGTGTGTGTATAAAACGGGGTCTCGTGCAGTGACACCATCCTGGCTCACTGCATCCTCTGCCTCCTGGGCTCAAGCAATCCTCCCATCTCAGCTGCCAAGTAGCCAGGTCTACAGGCATGTGCCACTATGCCCAGCTAATTTTAATATATTTTTGTAGAGACAGGGTCTCACTATGTTGCCCAGGCTGGTCTCGAACTTCTGGGCTCAAGCGATCTACCAGTCTTAGTTTCCCAAAGTACTGGGATTACAGGCATAAGCCACTGCACCTGGTCCTATTTTTAATTGTTTGAGGAACCACCATATTGTTTTTCATAACAGCGGCACCATTTTGCATTCCTAGGAAAAGCGCACAAGAATTGCAATTTCTGCACATCCTCAACTTAATTTTTTTAATTTCTGTTTTTGAGAGTGGGCATTCTAACTGGTGTGAGGTGGGAAACATCCATTCTTAGCCTCTCATTTTGTGCATGAGGAATTGGGAGCCAGCCATTTTAATCCAATACATTATCTAAGGTAATGTAAATCACTTGAGGCGGTAAAGTGCAGTGCTAAAAAATTGGGCTCTAGAGCTAGACTCCTGTTTTCTGAATTGTGGCTTGACTGCTGACAGCTATGTAACCTTGAGCAAGTTACTTAACCTTGCTGTCTTAGTCTCCTTGTCTGTAAAATAAGTATAACTTAAGTGTACCTACCTCATAGGGTTGTTATGAGGATTAAATAGAACGTATATATACACACATACCCATATATACATATCGTATAGCATGAAAATGCCCACGGATTCTTTGCAACTTCTCCCATGAAAAAAATGGGACCTAATATTCTTCCCCTTGCATCCACACTGGTAGCAAGTACTCACTTGTCACTGATAAAATGCAGCTGAAGTGATCCTGCTTGGTTTCTAAGTCTGGGTCAGGAGCCTTTCAGTTTCTTCCCTGACCTCCAGGAATGCTCCCTCTGGGGAAATCCAGTCACAGTGTAAGAACTCTGACTACCCCTCTGGAAAGACCACATGGAGAAACCCTGCGACTCCATGGAGGACAGAGGCCTTATTGTGGCCAGCTTTATTGCTATCCTGACGAGGTGCCAGGCATCTGAGTGAAGCTATATGGATCCTACAGACCAGATCAGCTGTCAGCTGAATAGGAACCAGTGACCAGAGTTGGTAATGTATGAAGAAAAGAATTGCCAAATAAATTTTGCCCACATTTTAATACCATTGTTTTTGGTATTAAATTACACAGCAATCGGGCTGGGCGCGGTGGCTCACGCCTGTAATCCTAGCACTTTGGGAGGCCGAGGCAGGTGGATTGCCTGAGCTCAGGAGTTGGAGACCAGCCTGGGCAACATGGTGAAACCCTGTCTCTACTAAAATACAAAAAAATTAGCCCGGCGTGATGGCACGTGCCTATAATCCCAACTACTAGGGAGGCTGAGATAGGAGAATCGCTTGAACCTGGGAGGCAGAGGTTGCAGTGAGCCGAGATTGTGCCATTGCACTCCAGCCTGGGAGACAGAGCAAGACTCTGTCTCAAAAATAAATAAATAAATAAATAAATAACACAGCAATCAACTGCCAGAACAAATGCCTGCTGTATAAGTGTCACTGGAATGTAAGTGCTCCAAGGGCAGAGATTTTTGTCTTTTTTCTTCATTTCTGTTTCTTAGAGCATTGCCTGGCATATAATAGATGTTCAATAAATATTTGTTCAAAAGCTGGAGACACCACACTACCTGATTTCAAAATATATTATAAAGCAATAATAACCAAAACAGCATGGTATTAGTATAAAAACAAACACATAGACCAATGGAGCAGAATAGAGAACTCAAAAATAAATCCATGGATTGGTAGCCAACTGATTTTCAACAAAGGCACCAAGAACATCTACTGGGGAAAGGACAACCTCTTCAATAAATGATACTGAGAAAATTGGATATCCATATGCAGAAAAATAAAACTGGACACTTCTCCCTCACCATTTACAAAAATCAACTCAAGATGTATTAAAGACTTAAGCACACCAGGCGCAGCGGCTCACGCCTATTATCTCACCACTTTGGGAGGCCAAGGTGGGCTGATCATGAGGTCAGGAATTCGAGACCAGCCTAGCTAACATGGTGAAGCCCCGTCTCTACTAAAAATACAAAAATTAGCTGGGTGTGGTGGTGTGCGCCTGTAATCCCAGCTACTCAGGAGGCTGAAGCAGGAGAATTGCTTGAACCCAGGAGGCAGAGGTTGCAGTGAGCTGAGGTCATGCCAGTGCACTCCAGCCTGGGGGACACAGCAAGACTCCGTCACCAAAAAAACAAACAAACAAAAAAAGCCAGGCGCGGTGGCTCACGCCTGTAATCCCAGAACTTTGAGAAGCTGAGGCACGCGGATCATGAGGTCAGGAGATCAAGACCATCCTGGCTAACACCGTGAAACCCCGTCTCTACTAAAAATACAAAAAAAAATTAGCTGGGCGGGCGGCTGTAGTCCCAGCTAGTCGGGAGGCTGAGGCAGGAGAATGGCATGAACCTGGGAGGTGAAGCTTGCAGTAGCCGAGATCGCGCCATTGCACTCCAGCCTGGGCAAAAGAGCAAGACTCTGTCTCAAAAAAAAAAAAAAAAAAAAAAGTGGGCACAGCATCTGAATAGAAACTTCTGAAAAGAACACATACAAATGGCCAATAGCTATATTTTTTAAATGCTCAATATCACTAATCATAAGGGAAATGCAAATCAAAACTACAGTGAGACATCATACTACCCCAGTTGGATGGCTATTATTAAAAATACTTCTTAAAAAACCAGATGCTTGCAATATTGTGGAGAAAAGGGAACTCATATACACTGTTAGTGGGAATGTAAATTTGTACAGCCACTATTGAAAACAGTATAAAGAGTCCTCAAAAAATTAAAAATAAAAGAACTACCATATGATCCATCAATCCCACCACTAGGTGTTTATCCAAAAGAAAAGAAATCAGTATATCAAAAGGATACCTAGGTGATGGATACACCATTTACCCTGATGTGATTATTATATATTGCATGCCTGTATCAAAATACCTCATGTAATTCATAAATACATACACCTACCATGTACCCACAAAAATTAAAAATAAAAAAAAGTCTGGGCACAGTGGCTCATGCCTGTAACCCCAGTACTTTGGGAGACCAAAGTGGTTAGATTGCTTGAGCCCAGGAGCTCGAGACCAGCCTGGGCAACATGGCAAAACCCCATCTCTATAAAAAATACAAAAATTAGCTGGGTGTGGTGGCACAAGCCTGTAGTCCTAGCTACTCAGGAGGCTGAGGTAGGAGGATCACTTGAGCCTGGGAGGTGGAGGTTGCAGTAAACCACGATGGTGCCACTGCATTCCAACCTGGGCAACAAGGTGAGACCCTGTCTGAAATAAATAAATAAAAATATTTATAAAAAGGATACCTGCACTGCCATGTCTATTGCAGGACTATTCACAATAGCCAAAATATGGAATCAATCTAAATGTCCATCAACAGACAAATGGTTAAAGAAAATGTGGTATATATATACAATGGAATATTATTTGGCCATCAAAAGAGTGACATCATGTCATTTGCAGCAAAATGGATGGAACTGGTGGAGGTCATTATGTTAGGTAAAACAGACCAGGTACAGAAAGACAAATGTCTCATGCTCTCACTCATATGTGGGAGCTAAAAAAAGTGGATCTCATGAAAGTAGAAAGTCAAATGATAGATACCAGAGGCTAGGAAGGGTGTGTGCTGGGAGATGGGTGGATGAAGAGAGGTTGGTTAATGTGTGCAGACATACAGTTAAATAGAAGAAATATGTTTTAATGTTTGATAGCAGAGTAGAGTGACTATAGTTAACAACAATGTGTTATATATTTCAAAATAGCTAGAAGAGAGGACTTGAAATATTTCCAGCACATGGAAATGATTAATAGCTGGGGTGATACACACCCCAAATACCCACTTCATTGTTACACATTCTATGCATGTAACAGAACATCACATATACCACATAAATATGTACAAAATTGTGTCAATTAAAAAAGACTACAGATTATTGAAATATTCTGAAAACAATACCTAATTCAAATATAACTTTAAATGTTTGTTTGTTTGTTTTCTTGAGACAGAATCTCACTCTGTCGCCCAGGCTGGAGTGCAAGTGGCAAGATCATGGCTCCCTACAGCCTTGACCTCCCTGGGCTCAGGTGATCCTCCCACCTCAGCCTTTCAAGTAGCTGGGACTACAGGCATGTGCCACCATGCCCTGCTAATTTTTGTATTTTTCGTAGCCATGGGATTTCATGATGTTGTCCAGGTTGGCCTCAAACTCAAGCTATCTGCCCTCCTCAGCCTCCCAAAGTGCTGGAATTACACGTGTGAGCCACCGTTCTCAGCCTTAAGTATTTTTAGTAAGATTGTTTCTCTTTATTCTACCAAATAAAGTAAGAAAGAAATATTTGTTCAATGAGTGAAGGAAAGTTAAGCTCTTGTTTTTAAATGGTAGCTAAGAATCAGACCCAGTCTACTGATTACAGGTCTTTGTATCACCTCAGGCTGACATAAAAGCTGTTGACCATTTTACCTATTTCTCCTGAGATTCTTAAGTCCCTACGATAAAACTCTTGGTGTACTCTCAATAGTTAGCCAGGTGTGGTGGAGCATGCCCATAGTCCCAGCTACTTGGGATGCTTAGGCGAGAGAGTCACTTGAGTCCAGGAGTTTGAGTCTATCCAGGCAAGATAGCAAGACCCTCATCTCTGAAAAAAAAAAAAAAAAAGCCAGGCTTAGTGGCTCATGCCTGTAATTCCAGCACTTTGGGAGGCCAAGGCGGGCAGATCACTTGAAGTCAGGAGTTTGAGACCAGCCTGGCCAACATGGTGAAACTCTGTCTCCACTAAAAATACAAAAATTAGCTGGGCACGGTAGCACACGCTGTAATCCCAGCTACTAGGGAGGCTGAGGCAGGAGACTTACTTGAACCCAGCGGGTAGAGGTTGCAGTGAGTCGAGATGGTACTACTGCACTCCAGCCTGGGCGACAGAGCGAGACTCCATCTAAAAAAAAAAAAAAAAAAAAAAGAACTGGGGAAGTTGGAGTGTGTGTTAAAATATTGTTGCTATTTACACTTCAATAGCTTGGGGTTCAAATAACTTGCGTTGTTTTAAAATTGCTGAACCAAGAAAGGATGGGCCCAGAACACTGCAGGCTTGGGGTACAAGCTTTACCCTCACGTGCTCAATCATTTGAGTCTAAAGCATGTCCACTATGCTCAGGCAACAATGTCAGAGGAGGGACGTCTAGCCTCACCAACATGCTATACCAAGACCACTCACACTCTCTTTGTGCTGCTGCTGAACCAGGCTACCAGGTCAGAATTTCCTTGGCTTGGGGTAATTTCCATTTGCAGTCTGTTGGCATCCTTTCCTATCATTTGGCCTTGGTCAAATTATCTCAGTCCTTCAGAGATAATATTGTGGTTCAGCTATAATATTGAACCACAGAAAAGAAAACTTTCTTCAGGCATTTCCGCAAATTTACTCAGTTTACTCCCCTCCCTTCTCCAGGGTCCAGGCTTGCAAACCAAAGGCTACTGGTAAGAGCAGCCTTTGTCAAGCCACAAAAGAACCTGTTATACACTTTCCCCAGGGCCCAGGGTCCTACTTGATATAATTTGCATAACTAAGATCTGCTTCTCAAGTGGTTCTTCAGAACAAAAAAGAACAAGGATAATCTGCTCCAAGGAGTCTTGCTGTTTTTAAAACAGAGACAATGTTTAAAAGCAATTTATTTGGCAGAAGTTTAATATAACCAAGAAACCTCTCCACTGACAGCCAGCCCGGCATACCCTTATTTGTGTGCACACATGGACACACACACACGCACACTGACCTAGGTTAGCTTTCTCTCAACTCAGATTCATGAATGTTTCTGTGGTCTGTGATTGTATATACTCTAATATTCTCAATTAGAAAATAGGGAGAATGTAAAGAGTCGAATTTGTTTTTAAAAACTTTGTAAGTTTCCTTTATAACTGTAGACTCCAATAAACAATATTTAGGGTTTTGGTGGTATCGGAATTAACAAGAGAGTAAAACTGATGAACAATAAGGGTAAGTCATTTGTAAACTCCAAAGCGTGTCTGAATGTATCAGTCTTTTTGACTTCCCACACTTTAAGCTCTGTCAAGACTCTGTTTAGAATATTTAAAATCGCAACTGCTAAAACGTAGCACAGTGGTTATAGGTTCTAGATCTGTAGTCAGAAGACCTGGGCTTCAACCCAATACCCCTACTTCCCATCTGTGACTTGGTGGGAGGCAAGTCAGTGTAGTCAAACATGGATATTGTATTGATTACACTGACTCATTTAGTACCTACTTCATACGGTTGTTGTGCAGATTAAATGAGAAAAATAAAATAAGAGTGTTAAACATCCAGTAAGTGCTCAAAAACATAAGCCATTGTAGTTACTATAATCGTTTGTGAAATTTGACTGCCAAGATATTTTGTTTCTAGACAGGGTCTCACTCCGTCATCTAGGCTGGAGTGCAGTGGCACAATCACAGCCCTCCCCACCATTTCTGGCTAATTTTTTGTAGAGATGGGGGTCTCATCATGTTGCCCAGGCTGGTCTCAAACTTCTGAGCTCAAGAGAGCTGCCTGCCTCAGCCTCCCAAAGTGTTGGAATTAGAGGTGTGAGCCACCACACCCAACCAAGTATTTTAGTTTCACAAGCTATACTTACCATGACTCCCACCTGTGCAACCGCCTTCATTTCTATAACCATAGCAAGTATTTACATTGTCATTTACAATATAGACATCTATTACTTTCATCTCTCTGAAATAGGCCCAGTCTTCTAAAATGCAGAAAGCAGAGAATAATTCAATTAAGAAGACTCAGTAGCTTCTTAGTGTCCTGATATTTAAACATTTAGCTCAAGTATTGATTCTTTTAGCATTTAAATCAATTTTAGATGTTAACAATAGCTAAATCTAATTGCTAGTGACCCTACAATTAACACAATAACACAAATCATGGACATCAAGTACATATTAAAGTCTGATAACAGGTAATTTTTTTCTCTTTGTTCTTTGAGGTTATTGATCAAGCTCAATATAATTGCTCTTTCCAAATGGAATTCCGGCTCTTATGTAAGAATAAGGAAATAACAACATCCCCTGGAAAGGGCTATCAGACCTCCCTGACTAGGTTAGGATGTCAAGTGAAAGGAGGAAATGAAAATTAAACATCCCAGCTGAAGCACAGATGGGAAACTGGATAAGCTGTTCACCCTCTATTTTGATTACTACAACATTTGTTAGGGTTAAATGCCTGATGTGTGTTTGGGAATGACAGTTATTCTGCTGCTAAAAAGAAAGGAAATGAATGATCCCATCAACATTGTGATGTGGTTGAGATTTATCTGCATCTAATCTAACCATGTTTGGGATATGTTGAAAATCTTGATCTATTTAAAAGGTTCCAATTTAGCAGAACTTTCTTCCTTGTCAGCACTCAGAGAAGCCTTTGAAGTGGATAGGAACTCTACAAATGAAGGGAGAGATACACATGGAATGAATAGGCCTTAAACATTTTGCAGAATTCCAAATGTCCTTTCCACAGCCACATTCTTCTCCTCCCATGATTACACTATGCTCATTTTAAGGAAAAGATTTTCAGTTGATCAGAAACTAGAGGGTGGTATGGAACCGAGGCTACTGCATCTTTGCTATGATGCTGGTGGGTTGCAGAGCCTCCCTTTCCTCCCAGCTTTCTACATTTGGGCGAAAAAATGTCAAGAGAGGCAGAACAACTAAAAACATATATATATATATATTTTGGCTGGGCGTGGTGGCTCAAGCCTGTAATCTCAGTACTTTGGGAGGCCGAGGTGGGAGGATCACCTGAGGTCAGGTGTTCGAGACCAGCCTGGCCGATATGGTGAAACCCCGTCTCTACTAAAAATACAAAAATTAGCCGGGTGTGGTGGTGAGGGCCTGTAATCCTAGCTACTCAGGAGGCTAAGAAAGGAGACTTGCTTGACCCCAGGAGGCAGAGGTTGCAGTGAACTGAGATTGTGTCACTGCACTCCAGTCTGGGCAACAGAGTGAGACTGTGTCTCAAAAAAATAAATAAATAAAATAAATAAATAAATAAATATTTGTCCAAGAGGAGTTCTAGGAAGAGAGAACAGAGAGAAAAGAATGATAAAAATAACAGGATATCCCCCAGAATTGATATGTAAAACTTTAGATTGAAAGGACCTATTAAGTACAGAACAGGACGAATTAAAAAAAAAAAAAGACTCGGCTGGGCGTGGTGGCTCAAGTGCATAATCCCAGCATTTTGGGAGGCCAAGGTGGGTGGATTGCTTGAGCCCGGGAGTTCGAGACTAGCCTGAGCAACATGGTGAAACCCTGTATCTACAAAAAATTCAAAAATTAGCAGGGTGTGGTGGTGCAGGCCTGTAGTCCCAGCTACTCAGGAAGCTGAGGTGGGAGGATCAACTGAGCCCAGGAGGTGGAGGTTGCAGTAAGCAGAGATCACACCATTGCTCTCCAGCCTGGATGACAGAGCAAGACCCTACCTCGAAAAAAAAAAAAAGGGGGGCTGGGTGCGGTGGCTCATGCCTGTAATCCCAGCACTTTGGGAGGCCGAGGCGGGTGGATCACAAGTTCAAGAGTTCAAGACCAGCCTGGCCAAGATGGTGAAACCCCGTCTCTACTAAAAATACAAAAAAATTAGCCAGGCGTGGTGGTGGGCACCTGTAATCCCAGCCACTTGGGAGGCTGAGGCAGAGAATTGCTTGAACCCGGGAGGCGGAGGTTGCAGTGAGCTGAGATCGTGCCACTGCACTCCAGCCTGGGCGACAGAGCAAGACTCACTTCAAAAAAAAAAAAAAGTTACATATCTTATCTAGACACATTCTGAAATTTCAGAATGGCATGGAAAAACTGTTTTACAACACTTTGGCCTGGTGGGGTAGTGAGGACAGATTACTACAAATAATTGCAGAGAGATCCCATTGCCACATGGGATGCAAGAAAGCAATGGAGTAGACAGCGGAGCAGCTCGTAATGAACTTGTAAGTAAAGCATAGGAAATGTAAGCAGAGTTGCAAGAAATGTAAAGATTATTTAAAACTGATAACAGAAAAGGAATTACAAAGTTTAAAAAATGGACTTCCAGTTTTCAATCAGGTATGTAAGGAACTTGGAAATTGGGCACTATTTGAGCAGAAGAAAGTGAGTCTTTTGTTTCGTTAAGGGAGGAATTGTGTTTTTTTTTTTTTTTCTAACCAGTTAAACTCCAGCAGCAACTCTGAGTCCTGTTGCTTCAGACTGCCTGGGAGAGACAATAATCAAAACCCCCTCTATAAATCATCCAGTTATTCAAGGCCAGGCCCAAGAAACCAGGTAGATAGATAAATAGGTAGACAGAGAGAGAGAGAGAGGGAGAGAGATACATACATACATACCTAAATTCATAGATAGAATCAACAACACTGCTTTATTTTGGCATACATTTTGGCCTAAATTAACACTGCTGCATTATAATCAAGTTTGCTTAATCAACTGTTTTTAGCATCCATAAGCTTCAACTAATTTAGAAGATGGTGAAGGCCAGGTGCAGTGGCTCATGCCTATAATCTCAGCACTTTGGGAAGCTGAGTGGGAGGATTGCCTGAGTCCAGGAGTTTGAGACCAGCCTGGGCAACATAGCAAAACCCCACCTCCATAAAAAATTTAAAAAATTAGCCAGGCGTGGTGGCGCATACCTGTTGTCCCAGCTATGCTAGAGGCTGAGATAGGAGAATCCCTTGAGTCCCAGAGGTCAAAGCTGCAGTGGGCCATGATCATGCTGCTGAACACCAATCTGGGTGACAGAGTGAGACCCCTTCTCAAAACAACAACAACAACAAAACCATGACAATAGAGCAGTTTCACCAGTCAGAATAGATATGTTATAAATAAAATATTAATGGAATAAATATGGTAGTGTATTAAAAACCATTATATCATGACCTAGGATATTTTACACAAGGAATTTGAGACAGTCAACACAAAGAAATCTACTTAGGTTTACTGTGGTAATATCTAGATGGTGGGAATATAAAATTTTATTTTCTTCAAGTTGTTTTTTGAGGTCAACCTAGAAAGTCAATGGGAATAATAAAAAAAATAGTTACACCCATATTCAATAAGAAGGCCAGATAAAAGATCATAGCTTCCCTAATCCCCAGCAGTAATCAAATAAAAGGTCTTTAAAAATATTTTATTCAAGGGCTGGGTGTGCTGGCTCACGCCTATAATCCCAGCACTTTGGGAGGCTGAGGTGGGCGGATCATGAGGTTAAGATATCGAGACCATCCTGGCCAACATGGTGAAACCCCGTCTCTACTAAAAATACGAAAATTATCTGGGCGTGGTGGCACGCGCCTGTAGTCCCAGATATTTAGGAGGCTGAGGCAGGAGAATCACTTGAACCCGGGAGCTGGAGGTTGCAGTGAGCCAAGATCATGCCACTGCACTCCAGCCTGATGACAGAGCAAGATTCCGTCTCAAAAAAAAAAAAAATTTATTCATGGTAGCAATAAAACTATCTAATAAAATCTCTAGGAATAAATTTAACAAGACTTTTACAAGATTTATATTAATAAACTCTAAAACTTTCCTGAAGGGTTTGGATTGGTTTCCTAGGGCTGCCATAACAAATCACCATAAATTGGGTGGCTTAAACCAATAGAAATTTATTCTCTCATAGTTCAGGACATAGAAGTCTTAAAAGAAAGTGTCAGCAAAGTTGGTTTTAGAGGCCATGAGGGAGGTACTGTTCATGCTGCTATTCTAACTTCTAGTGGTTTTGGCAATTCCTGGTGTCTCTTGGCTTAAAGACACATTGCTTCAATCTCTACCTCTATTTTCACATTGCTTTCTCTGCACCTCTGTGTGTCCTTTTCTGTCTCTTATGAGGATACTCTCAATGAATTTAGGGACCACAATAGTCCTGTAAGATCTCATCTCAATCCTTTATATATATATATATATATATATATATATATATATATATATATATATATATATGGAACTTGGAAATTGGGCACTATTTGAGCATATATGTGTATATATATATCTATATATATATACACATATATATATAATTTTTTGAGAAAGGGTCTTGCTATGTCACCCAGGCTGGAGTACAGTGGCATAATCATAGCTCACTGCAGTCTCAACCTCCCAGGCTGAAGCGATCTTCCTATCTCAGAGTATCTGGGAGTACAGGTGTGTGCCACCACACCCAGCTAGGTTTAAAATTTTTTGTAGAGATGGCCCCTTACAATGTTGCCCAAGCTGGCCTCCACCTCATGGACTCAAGCAATCCTCCTATCTCAGCCTCCCAAAGTGTTAGGATTACAGGCATGAGCCAGCCATGGCACTATATATATATACACACACATATATACACACACACACACACATATATGTATGTTATATATATATTTACACACATATATATTTACACATATAAGTGTATATATATACACTTATGTGTATATATTTACACATATACACATATATGTGTATATATTTACACATATACACATATATGTGTATATATACACACATATATACACATATATGTGTATATACACATATATGTGTGTGTACATATACATATATATTGCATATATACGTGTGTGTATATATATATGTTTTAGAGATGGGGTCCCATTCTGTCACCCAGGCTGGAATGTCATGGCGTGATCCTAGCTCACTGCAGCCTCAATCTCCTAGGCTCAAACAATTCTCTTGCCTCAGCCTCCCAAGTAACTGGGACAACAGGCACCACCACACCAGGTTCTTTCCTTAGTTATATATTCAAGGACCTTATTTTCAAATAAGATTGTATCCTGAGGTTCCATGTAGACAGGAATTTCAAGGGGGCACCGCTTAACTCACTGCAGGCTTAACGTGACCTGAATAAAGAATGAAATATACCATATTTCTGAAAAGGAGGACTTAATAGTTTGACTATGTCATTTTGTAATTACTAAAAAAAAATAAAAATTAAGTGGAGACAAAATAAAATGAAATAAAAAGTTAATGGATTATGCAGGGTGGCTCATGCCTGTAATCCTAATGCTTTGGAAGGCTGAGGTGGGAGGATTGTTTGAGGCCAGGAGTTTGAAACTATCCTGGACAACACAGAGAGACTCCGTCTCTACAAAAAAGTTAAAAAATTAGCTAGGTATGGTGGCCCATAGCTATAGTCCTAGCTGCTTGGGAGGCTGAAGTGGGAGGAATGTTTGAGCCCAGGAGTTCGAGGTTACAGTGAGCTATGATAACACCACTGTACACCAACCTGGGCAACAGAGTGAGACCCCGTCTCTTAAAAAAGACCAAACCACTTAATTATTAGAAAACAAGTTAGAAAGGAGGAATATAGACAAGATGAAACCAACAGAAAACAAATAGATGGTAGAGTTACATGAGATCATATCAGTAAGTTCGTTAAGTGTAACTGAATATCAGTTTTCTTTATAAAACACTAAATGATACATTGTTCATTAGTAACACACTTTAAACATAAAGACACAGATGACAGCAAAAGGATGGGAAAAGGACAGCATGAAAATATTAATAAAAAGAAAGCTGGAGGCTGGGCGCAGTGGCTTAAGCCTGTAATCCCAGCGGATCACGAGGTCAGGAGATTGAGACCATCCTGGCTAACACAGTGACACTCCGTCTCTACTAAAAAATACAAAAAATTAGCCGGGCGTGGTGGCGGCCACCTGTAGTCCCAGCTACTAGGGAGGCTGAGGCAGGAGAATGGCGTGAACCAGGGAGGTGGAGCTTGCAGTGAGCCGAGATCACGCCACTGCACTCCAGCCTGGGCTACAGAGCAAGACTCCGTCTCAAAAATAAAAAAAGAAAAGAAAAAAAGAAAGCTGGAGGCCAGGTGCAGGGTGCAGTGGCGCGCACCTGTAATCCCAGCACTTTGAGAGGCCCAGGTTGGTGGATCACTTGAGGTAATGTGTTTGAGACCAGCTTGGCCAACATGGTGAAACCCCATCTCTACTAAAAATACAGAAATTAGCTGGTTGCGGTGGCATGCGCCTGTAATTCCAGCTACTCGGGAGGCTGAGGCAGGAGAATTGCTCGAACCCAGGAGGCGGAGGTTGCAGTGAGTTGAGATCATGCACTGCAGCCTGGGTGACAGAGTGAGACTCTGTCTAAAAAAAAAAAAAAAAAAAAAAAGAAAGAAAGAAAGAAAAGAAAACTGATATGACCATATTTATGAGACAAAGTATACTTTCAGGCAAGAAGTATTACTAGAGATAAGAAAGAACATTTCATAATACTAAAAAGGTTTGCTTCAATAGGAAGACCCAACAATTCTAAATTTGTCTGGACATAATAACATAACTTTAAAATATATGAGCTGAACTAAAAGGAGAAATAGACAAATTCACAATCATAATTGGAGGTTTTTTTGTCGCCCAGGCTGGAGTGCAGTGGTGGGATCTTGGCTCACTGCAACCTTCACCTCCCAGATTCAAGCGATTCTTCTCCCTCAGCCTCCCGAGTAGCTGGGATTACAGGTGCCCACCACCACGCCTGGCTAATTTTTGTTTCTGTTTTTTTCAGATGGTGTCTCACTCTATTGCACAGGCTGGAGTGCAATGGCGAGATCTTGGCTCACCGCAACCTCCACCTCCCAGCTTCAAGTGATTCTCTTGCCTCAGCCTCCCAGGTAGCTGGGATTACAGGCGTGCACCACCAAGCCCTGCTAATTTTTGTATTTTTAGTAGAGACGGGGTTTCACCATGTTGGCCAGGCTGGTCTCGAACTCTTGAACTTGTGATCTGCCTGCCTCAGCCTCCCAAAGTGCTGGGATTATAGGCATGAGCCACCGCGCCTGGCGTTTTTTTTTTTTTTTTTTAGTAGAGATGGGGTTTCTCCATGTTGGCCAGGCTGGTCTCGAACTCCTGACCTCAAGTGATCTGCCCACCTCGGCCTCCCAAAGTGTTAGGTTTACAGGCTTGAACCATCAAGCCTGGCCTTAATTGGTTTTAACAGACATCTCTTAGTAACTGTTAAAAACAAGAAGACCAAAAAGTCAATACAGATATATTTAAACAACACTATTAAGCAACTTGACCTAATTGATATTTATAGAACACTATACCCAGCAACTGCAGAATACGCATTCTTTTCAAGCACATACCAAAGATAGACCACATGCTGGGGCATAAAGCAAGTCTTAAAAAATTTCAAAGTACTGAAATAATATACAGTATATTCACTGACCACCAGAAACCAATACAGATGGATAAGTAGAAAATTCCAAAATGTATAAAAATTAAGGAACATACTTCCAAATGACCTGCGGGCCAAAGAATAAATCACAAACAAAACTAGAAAATACTTTGAATCGAAGAATAATGAAAATAAAACATCAAAATTTGTGGAATATAGCTTAAACAGTGCTTAGAAGGAAATTTATGTTTTTTTAATTTCACAAAGATAATCCAGGCCCAGATGTCTTCAAAGGTGACTTCTTCCAAATATTTAAGAAGGAATAATGACAATCTTTCTCAAACCCTTTCAGAGATTAGAGAAAAAGAGAACACTGTTTTTGTGGCTAACATATTTTATTATGGCTAACATAAATTTGATGCCAAAACAAAAATCTTTTCTGCATATGGAAAGGATTATTAATATGCTTTAGAAAAATATAAATAATACGTTATATATCAGAAAATCATAATACATTTTATTGTAAAAATTATAAATACAACATTAGCAAGTTGAATACAGAGAAATAAAAAAGATAGCACATCATTACCAACTATGGTTTATCAAAGAAAACCATATAATTATCTTAATCAATACAGAAAAAGCATTTGATAAAATATAACACCCACTCAGGAAAAAAAAGCTCAGCAAATTAAGAATAGAAGGGAATTTTTTTAATCTGACAACAGCTATCTGCAGAAAGCCCAGAAACTATGGCTGACATATGTAATGGCGAACCATTGAATGCTTTTCCTCTGAGGGGCCACTGCAATTCTGTGGTAGAAAGTACAGGTTTTGGCATGGTGCGGTGGCTCACGCCTGTAATCCCAGCACTTTGGGAGGCCAAGGTGGGTGGATCAGGAGGTCAGGAGATTGAGACCATCCTGGCCAAGATGGTGAAACCCTGTCTCTACTAAAATACAAAAAATTACCCAGGTGTGGTGGCGCACGCCCATAGTCCCAGCTACTCGGGAGGCTGAGGCAGAGGAATCACTTGAACCTGGGACGTGGAGGCTGCAGTAACTGAAATCACGCCACTGCACTGCAGCCTGGAGACAGAGCAAGACTTCATCTCAAAAAAAAAAAAAAAAAAAAAGGAAAAGAAAACAGAAAGTACAGGTTTTTTTCAGCATATGAGGCTAGAACTCTTGGATATCCAGATGGAGAAAAATAACACAAAGTTGGTGATATGGTTTGGCTGTGTCCCCACCCAAATCTCAAGTTGAATTGTATCTCCCAGAATTCCTACATGTTGTGGGAGGGACCCAGGGGGAGGTAATTGAATCATGGGGGCTGGTGTTTCCCATACTATTCTTGTGATAGTAAGTCTCAGGAGATCTGATGGGTTTATCAAGGGTTTCCACTTTTGCTTCTTCCTCATTTTTCTCTTACTGCTACCATTTAAGAAGTGACTTTCGTCTCCTACCATGATTCTGAGGCCTCCTCAGCCATGTGGAACTGTAAGTCCAATTATACCTCCTTTTGTTCCCAGTTTCAGGTATGTCTTTATCAGCAGCATGAAAATGAACTAATAGATTTGACCTCCACCTTATACCATATACAAAAATTATTCAAGATTGCTCAAAAATATAAATATCAAATTAAAAAAATCAAACTTCTAGAAAAAAATAGGAGAGAATCTTCATGATTTTAGGGTAGGCAAAGATTTCTTAAACAGGATAAAAAGACAATAACCATACAAGAATAAAAACATAATTGGACTTCATGGAAATAAAAAGTTTTTTGTTTACTAAAAAATATCCATAAAAGAGTGAACAGGCAAGTCACAGGCAAGGATAATATTATCATTATCTATCCATCTGTCTAACAAAGGGGTTCTTTCCAGAATCTATAAAGAACTTATACAAATCAAATAAGACAAAAATATTTTTATAAGGAATGGGCAAAAGGCTTGAATAAGTACCACACAAAAGAGAATATCCAAATGGCCATTATGTGTATGAAAAGATAGACAACATCATTATTCTTCAGGCAAGTGCAAATTTAAACTACAAGACACCATTACACATTTACGAGAGTCTAAAAACTTAAAAGACTGAAAATACTGAATATTGGGAAGAATGTGGAGCAACTGGAACTCTCATACAACTGCTGTTGGGAGTGTAACTTTGGAAAACTCTCTGACAGTGTCTGTTAAAGCTACACACACATACTCTATGACTCAGCAATTTTTTGGCCAGCTTTTTTGAGGTATAATTGACAAATAATAATTGTATATATTTACAGTGTACAACATGATATTTTAATATATGTATACATTGTGAAATGACTATAATAATTTATACTTTAATCATACTATGATCAAGCTAATTAACATATCCATCACCTCACATAGTTATCTTTTTTGTGTGTGGTGAGAACGTTTTGAGATCCACTCTTTTAGCAATTTTTGTGTATATATTATTATCAACCATATTCACCATGTTGTGCAATAGATCTCCAGAACTTACTCATCCTCTTTACGGAAACTTTGTACCCTTCAACCAACATCCCCCCTCGCCCTCCCAGCCTCTAGCAACCACCATTCTACTCTGTTTCTATGAGTTTGACTTTTTCAGATTTCACAGATTTTAGTGAGATTGTGCAGTATTTGTCTTCTGTGCCTGCTTTATTTCACTTAGCATAATGTGCTCCGGGTTCATCCATGTTGTTGCAAATGACAAGATTTCCTTCTTTTTTAAGGCTGTATAGTATACACATTTTCTTTATCCATTCATTCATCAATGAACACTTAGGCTGACTTATCTTGGTGATTTATTGTTAATGCAGTTAGCGTCTTACGTATATGTAAATAGAATGCTGCAATAAACCTAGGGGTGAAGATGTCTCTTTGACATACTAATTTCATTTCCCCTGGGTATATACCCTGAAGTGGGATTGCTATATCATATGATAGTTATATTTTTAATTTTCTGAGGAGCCTCCATACTGTTTTCCCTAATGTCTGTACTAATTCACATGCCCACCAACAGTGTACAAGGGTTCTATTTTCTGTGTCCTTGCCAAAACTTATCTTTCATCTTTCTGATAACAGCCATTCTAACAGATATGAGGCAATATCTCACTGTGGCTTTAATTTGCATTTTCCTGGTGATTAGTGATGCTGAGCATTTTTTCATACATCTGTTGGTCATTTGTATGTCTTCTTTGACTTAGCAATTCCACTTCAGGTATATAACCAAGAGATATGAGAATTTATGCCCAATGGAAGACATATACAAGTATGTTGACAGCAGCTTTATTTATTCCAGTAAAAAACTGGAATCAACTCCAATGCCCATTAGCAGCAGAGTGGATAACTAATCTAATTTGTAGTCATATGATGGAATATAACATATTAATAAAAAAGAATGAATGGCTAATATGCACAACAGCATGAATGAGTCCACAAATATATATATATATATATACATATATTTTTTTTTTTTTTTTTTTTTTGAGACAGAATTTCGCTCTTGTCACCCAGACTGGAGTACGGTGGTGCGATCTCAGCTCACTGAAACCTCTGCCTCCTGGGTTCAAGCAATTCTCCTGCCTCAGACTCCTGAGTAGCTGGGATTACAGGCACACACCACCACACCCGGCTAATTTTTGTATTTTTAGTCGAGATGGGGTTTGCCATGTTGGCCAGGCTGGTCTCGAACTCCTGACCTCAGGCTATCTGCCCACCTTGGCATCCTAAAGTGCTGGAATTATAGGCGTGAGCCACCATGCCCAGCCTTCACAGGTATTATGTTGAGCATAGACGTCATAAAACTATTTGCTTTCATTGATATTATATTCAAGAACAGGCAAAATGAATTAATATTACAAGTCAGCATCTAATATTAGAAGTCTTCTGACTTCTAATAATAATTCACTTTGCCTGATCGTCTCTGGGTAGGTGGGTAAAGTGGCAAGAGAGAACTTTCTGAGGTATTAATAGTAGAAATGTGTTATGTATCTGGATGATGGTTACTCAGATGATACATATGTTAAAAAGCCATTGACCTGTATACTTTAGATTTGTACACTTTCTTATCATCTCTTTATATTTACTTAGACATAATTTTGAAAGATGCTAACTGCATTAATAATAAAAATGAAAAATTTTAAATTTGCCGCATTTTCCCAATTATTCGCGAAGATTAAACAGGCATTTAGGGAAAGATAGTTTTTTGTATATTGTCAAGGGTAGTACAAAATGGTACACATTTTTGAAGGCCAATCAAATAATATACATCAAAATTTTAATACATCTACCCCAGTTGGGCATGGTGGCTCACACCTATAGTCCCAGCACTTTGGGAGACTGAGGTGGGAGGATTGCTTGAGTCCAGAAGTTCAAGACCAGCCTGGGCAATGTAGTGAAACCCTGTCTCTACAAAAATAAAAAAATTGGTGGGGCATGGTGGTGTGTACCTGCAGTCCCAGCTACTCAATAGGTTGAGGAGGGAAGATTGCTTGAGCCCAGGAGGTGGAAGCTGCAGTGAGCTGTGACTGTGCCACTGCACTCTAGTCTGGGCAACAGAGTGAGACACTGTCTGAAAAAATATATATGTGTGTGTGTGTGTGTGTGTGTGTATGTGTGTGTGTGTGTGGGTGGGTGTATGTATATATGTGTGGGTATATATATACACACACATACATGTACACACATATATATGTAAAAATATATATATACCCTTTGACTCAGCAATTTAACTTTTAGCAATTTACCCTAACAAAATATTCATACAAGTACTCAAAGATATGTGTGAAAAGATAGTAATAAAACATTAGTCATACAAGAAAAAGCTTGGGGAAAAAAGACATGTTCATCAACATGTCTTCAATGATTATCTAAATTATCTAAAATAGATAATTAAAATAATACCCATGAAATATGTTATAGCCATTAAAGAGCTTGAGGTTTATCTATATGTTTTGATATACTAAAAATGAGACTGAATTGTGTAAACAAAGATGGGAAAGCTCAGGCTTCTAGCCCCCATATCCAGTTACTTAGCTACTCTGTCTCAGTTTCTTTATTTGTAAAATAAAGTTAATAATATTGTCCTTCCTAATCCATCTCACAAGTGAGGATCAAGTGTAAGAAGCCCTTTGAAAGACGGAAAGTGTTACGGAAGTGCAAAGTGTGACTCCCGAAATAACATTCCCTTTTTAACTAAAACTTTGTTTCTCTTAAATCACCACTCAGTCCAGATTTATTTTCCCTATCACTGATTTAGACCAGTGTTTCTCAAACTGTAGGTAGCAAAGTATGGGCACCAGATCAAAATGGATGTGGAAACATTATTAAAACATTATTAAAAGTACTGAGCCCAGTCTCAACCTACCAAAGTTTTTGAAACCCTGTTTTAGATGGAAATGGGCATTAAGGCCATCGTTTCTCTTTCATTTAGAAGAATTTGGGCTGACTCTCATTCATGGAAGCCTCCAACTTTGGCTTTATCTGTCTTGGCTTATCATTTGTCCTCAATGCAGGAGTCAAATGGGCTAGTAAAGTAGTACAAATGGTACCCGCATTTATGAAATCCCAATAGCAGCCAAATACATTTGATGAAAAGAACAATGTGATGCCACATTATAGACAAACATGAATCCCAGTTTAGCTTTAAGAACCGCAGCTGTTGGAAAACACCATCTCCTGGGCAGCTGCTTTGGCTACTGTCCGCAATTAATTTAGCAGAGTCTCAAAAATAGAAAGCAGCCTCTGTTCTGTTATATAATAAACAGTGCTTTATTTGAAATGACAATATTTACTTTTCCTATAGTGAACTCCAGCAGTCTACTAGGCAGTGGGCAAACAGTAGAAATACCTAAAATGGAAACTTGAGAAAGCAGTTTAGCTAGTACAGTTTATTTTCTACTTGACCAACAAGTAATTAGAAGAGCCCCTCCACGTTACTCACATTTTATCTAGTTTGTACAGGATCATGGGTTCCATGTGACTTTATGATCACCATGCACATCTTTCTTGTTTTGATGTGTCTTGAAATATGCAAGACAGATGTGAAATAATGAGGTCTCCAATATTCAAGTGTTTAAGCAGAGCTGAGGGCTGTCCCATCAAGAATGTTTTCTAAAGGATTCTACTAAGATTGGCAGGTTCAACTGCCAATTGACTTCTCAGCCTCTTCCAACAGCAAAGAGTCTGGCGTCTATGTTTCTATTATCTCATTTTCAAGTTATCTTTAAAGGGAAAATATTATAAATTATGATTATTAATTTTTTCAGTATTTAATATCTTTTATAAATGAGAAGCTGTGATTTATGTTATTTATTATAAAAACCCTTTATAAACCTTTATAAGCAAAAAATGACCTCTATTTGCAATGTAGAAAACCACTTTTTTTTTTTTTTTTTTTTTGAGACGGAGTCTCCCTCTGTCGCCCAGGCTGGAGTGCAGTGGTGTGATCTCTGCTCACAGCAACCTCTGACTCCCGGGCTCATGTGATTTTTCTGTCTCAGCCTCCCAAGTAGCTGGGACTGCAGGCACGTACCACCATGCCTGGCTAATTTTTGTGTTTTTAGTAGAGACGGGATTTCACCATTTTGGCCAGGCTGGTCTTGAACTCCAGACCTCAGGTAATCTGCCTGCCTCAGCCTCCCAAAGTGCTGGGATTACAGGCGTGAGCCACTGTGCCCAGCCTGGACAACCACTTTTAACTTCTTCATACAGTCTATTTTCTACTCCTTTTATCATATTGTGACAACTCTCCAGAGCTTCTCCATTTCTTGCAAATCTTGAGGGAGGGCAGGTCTAATTGAGTCACAGTATTCCACAGGGGTCATGTACAATGAAGAGATGTTTAAAAATTTTTGGCCTTTTAAGCTGGCATTTAGCTAGCAATACTGGATACTCTGCAGTGTTCATTGGATGATGAGATTTGCTTAATTTTTGCAACGGTGCTTGGATTTTCTTCAGAGGTTTTTCTTTCTTGTCACTCCTGATCTGGTGTCACTTCCTACTATCTCATTTAGCAAGACCAATCACTTAAAAAGGACAAATGATTTCATACCTAATTACTAGTTAGAAACATTTTAATTCCTACAAAATTCTTCAGAAACCCAAAGATTCTCCTCCCATCCTGCCAAAAATCTAATCTACAAGTCCTCTTTAGAATGGTACAAAGAAAAGTAAATTTTGATTAGGTAAAAATTTGAAGTTTAGATTTTATTCCTGCTGATTTGTTATGCTCTACTCTTAGGCAGAGTGGATGTTTATTCTCAAAGGATAGCCCACCGACCAGTTGCATCAAAATTATCTGGGGTGCGGCCAGGCACGGTGGCTCATGCCTGTAATTCCAGCACTCTGGGAGGCTGAGGTGGGTGGATCACCTGAGGTCAGAAGTTTGAGACCAGCCTGGCCAACATGGTAAAACTCCATCTCTACTAAAAATACAAAACTTAGCTGGACATGGTGGCGAGCGCCTGTAATCCCAGCTACTCTGGAGGCTGAGGCTGGCGAATTGTTGGAACCCGGGAGGCGGAGGTGGCAGTGAGCCGACATCGTGCCATTGCACTCCAGCCTGGGCAACAGAGCGAAACTCTGTCTCAAAAAAAAATTATCTGGGGTGCTTGTTAAAATGCAGATTTCATGGTCCCACTTTAAACCGAGGGAATCAGAAACTCTTGGGGCAGGGTCCTGTAAACTGTATTTTATAAATGCTTCAGGTCAATTGCATGTACATTACAGTTTGTGAAGCATTGCCCTAAAGATCAACCAAATTCTTAATTTCTAGTGTATCTTATATTTCTTCTCCTCAATAAGCCAAAGAAAGAATTGTAAGCATTAAAAGTACAGGCCAAATCTTGTCATAGAATGTGTATTCTATTGTAACTCTGTTTATGATCACTTAATAGCTTCTGTGTGGGACAGTTAAGCTGTAGTAATTACCTCATGGTTCTGTAATCTGTATGTCTCCTCCCACATGACATTTGTACCAACTAAGACTATGGCTTACTTCCAGACAGAATGGAAGAACTACCAGATCTAGGTGGGCTGATGCCACTTCATGTTACATCGTTTTTCTTGGTAATTTAAAGACATTTATCAAATTTCTCACAAATCTTGACCCTGAATTATAGAGGAGAAAAATATTTTACAAAAACTCACTAAATCCAAGTCACTTTAATCACTGACCTCTTTGCGAAAAATTGCCTTTTAAATAAATTGGGAAGGATCTGGGATTTATAGCTCTTGCCCCCAAACTGCCTCTGAATTATATTACCTTAAGCAAATTATGCGACCTCTCTGCCACGGTGTTTTGGATTTTTTTTTTTAAACAGGGTCTTGCTCTGTTGCCCAGGCTGAAGTGCAGTGGTACAATCATAGCTCGCTATAGCCTCAAACTCCTGGGCTCAAGTAATCCTCTGGCTACAGCCTCTGCAGTAACTGGGACCAGAGACACATATCACCATGCCCGGCTTTTAAAATTTTTTTGTAGAGACAGGGTCTCACTATGTTTCCCAGGCTGGTCTTGAACTCCTGGGCTCAAGTGATCCTCCCATCTCAGCCTCCTAAAGTGTTGGCATTACAGGCTTGAGTCACTGTGCCCAGCTCTTGCTATGTTTTTGTAATAGAGATAATCACTGTTTGTAATAAGGATGATATTTCCCAAAATTTTGAGATGGATGAGATCAGGCTTGTAAAATATTACATGTTCTTGAATGAGGTATGGTAAAAGAAATGAAAATTGGGCTGTGTGCAGTGGCTCACACCTATAATCCCAGAACATTGAGAGGCTGAGGTGGGTGGATCACCTGAGGTTAGGAGTTCAAGACCAGCCTGACCAATATAGTGAAACCTGGTCTCTTCTAAAAATACAAAAATTAGCTGGGCATGGTGGCAGGCACCTGTAATCCCAGCTACTTGGGAGGCTGAGGCAGGAGAATCGCTTGAACCTGGGAGGCGGAGGTTGCAGTGAGGCTGAGATCGTGTCATTGCACTCCAGCCTGGGTTACAGAGTGAGACTCCTCAAAAAAAAAAAAAAAAAAAAAGAAAGAAAAAAGAAAAAAAATTATTACTATTCCTTGTATAGGCTGTTAATGAGTTATTAACCTATCATTAATGAATCTGCCTCTTGAAGTATTTCACTTCTTGTTTTTTCAGGCTTACTAGAGTGATGCAATCTGCTCATAAATTTTCCTGGAGTATTTGGGGAACTTTAAAATTGAAAAAGCAACATAATCTCCCTCCCAAACACACATGCACACACACATATGCATGCACTTGCACTCCCTAAGACCACAGCGTGCATCTTTATCTTCACTTTCTATTGACTAGATTGATTGAACTTACTAAACCATTTGGGTCATCAAAGCCTCAAGTGCCTTGGGTTAGCTAAAGTATCACAAAGTCCACTAGCTCATTAGCAGTAAACCCTAATGTAGCAAAGTGATTAGAAATAAATTATTTACTTGATGTCATTTGGTTGTAAAAATCATCCTTCCCATTTATAGTTTCAGTTGCAATTATGCAAAACTGTTATTTTAAAATTTTGCTCATTCAAAATTAAGGATTTTTGAGAATCTGATTAGACACAAAGCAAAACCAACACCTATCTGCATATCGCCATCATTAAATTCTTTAGTAATGAGGAACCCCTAGTTGGCTCAAGAGAATGTTTAAAGATTGTTCCAATATTTTCGATTTGCAGAGTAGGAAAAAGGATTTCAAAGTATCATTGAGTCTACTTGTTTGAAACCGATTAGCATACATTGTTGTGTTATTTTTAAAGTTAATTTTATAAGCACAAGATATGTAACCTTTATGAAAAAAGAAAAAACTGGAAAAAGAATCAGAATCTGGTATATATAAACAGATAAAATGGGTTGACAAGGTCTGGGTGCGGTGACTCACAACTGTAATCCCAGCACTTTGGAAGGCTGAGACTCGGGTGGGGGATCACTTGAGGTCAGGAGTTTGAGACCAGCCTGGCCAACCTGGTGAAACCTTGTTTCTACTAAAAATACAAAAATTAGCCGGTCATGGTGGCGGGCGCCTGTAATCCCAGCTACTCAGAAGACTGAGGCAAGAGAATCGCTTGAACCCCAGAGGCAGAGGTTGCGGTGAGCAGAGATTGTACCACTGCGCTCCAGCCTGGGCGACACAGGGAGACTCCGTCTCAAAAAAAAAAAAAAAAAAAAAAAAGGTTGACAAGTAGCCAGGCATGGTGGCACATGCCTGTAGTCCCAGCTACTCAGGAGGCTATTGTGGGAGGATTGCTTGAGCCCAGGAGTTTGAGTCCAGCCTGGAAAATGTAGCAAGATCCTATCTATAAAAAAGGAAAAAAAAATGCGTTGACAGATACAAAGAAAAATAAGTGAGGAATACATGTAATGGTGTGTTAAGGCTACTCCTCTTGGACTGTGGGTCCATATGAAAAAAAAAATGTTCTGGAACTCAGTAACAAATCACTATTGAGAAGTTCCTTACAGGGTGACATAAAAGTATTATTATTATTTTTGTTGAGACGTAGTCTCACTCTTGTCGCCCAAGCTGGAGTGCAGTGGCACGATCTCAACTCACTGCAACCTCTGCCTCCTGGGTTCAAGCAATTCTCCTGCCTCAGCCTCTTGAGTAGCTGGGATTACAGGTGAGCGCCACCACGCCCGGCTAATTTTTGTATTTTCGGTAGAGACGGGGTTTCACCATGTTGGCCAGGCTGGTCTCGAACGCCTGACCTTGTGATGCGCCCCACCTCAGCCTCCCAAAGTGTTGGGATTACAGGCTTGAGCCACTGCGCCTGGCCTACCTAAAGGTATTTTTATCCATCTTTACAGTGGCTGCAAAGAGATCTGGGGATAGTTCAGTTGCTTTGGTTTTTTTGTTTTGTTTTGTTTTGAGATGTAGTCTTGCTCTGTCATCCAGGCTGGAGTGCAGTGGTGCGATCTCGGCTCACTGCAACCTCTGCTGCCCAGGTTCAAGTGATTCTCCTGCCTCAGCCTCCTGAGTATCTGGGATTACAAGCATGCGCCACCATGCCCAGCCAATTTCTGTATTTTTAGTAGAAATGGGGTTTCACTATATTGGCCAGGCTGGTCTCGAACTCCTGACCTCAGGTGATCCGCCCACCTTGGCCTCCCAAAGTGCTGTGATTACAGGTGTGAGCTACTGTGTCCGGCCAGTTGCCTTGGTTTGGTTGACTTCACTTCTTGAACAAATTTGAGGATGAAACAATCACAAATGTTTCTAATATTTTCTGAACAAGGAAGTGAGATGTTAGCACCTTTTTTTTCAGTACTGTATCTACCATTATAGCATCTGTTGGGTAGTCTTAATTTCAAGCCTTCTAGAAAAAGCAGTATATTCTGATTTGAGAGTTTCTCCCACATGGTAAAAATAAAATGTGAAATTTCAGTAACTGGCATAAAAAATTTTAGTAGTACCCAGGAAGTTTTCAGAAACTAGTGTTTTCATATAATATGGAAGTTTCAGTGTTTTGAAGGTTCAGTAAATAATGAGTACACAAGAGTGAAGTCTAAATTACCCATACAGAAGGGTAACCCTATAGCCCACATGTCTGGATTCATGTATGCAGATGGACAGATACACTTCATTTCTCCTGGGAAGTTGAGCTCTAAAAAGCTATCACTCAGAACAGACAGTTTTATGACTGCATGAAAAGAAAAGGAAAGATGACGAAGTTGCTATAAAAATGAAAGGCCTTTTGGAGTATTAACAGCTGAAAACATTAAGATTTCAATGAAGAAACAAAAATCAGCCTTAAACTGCAAATTAAAAAGAAAAAGAAAAAAACTTTTGCATAGGGTTTGAAGCATATGGACACCCACCCAGCTAGCAGTGAGGGCAATGGGAGCCCCAGACTTTAGCTTATTAAAGATGACCTTTCCCCTCTCTAAAATTTCAAAGCTGACGTTTCAAGTGCTGAGCAGACTGTGTGCCATATGTAACATGACCTCAGCTCCACTCTGCCTGAGCACTGATGGCATCACTAATGAGAGGTGAAAGGTCCTTTTCTTGCAGCTTTTTCAGAAATCCACCAATTCTTGCCTGTGAAGTAAGGCTCCTCCCTCCCCTCCCTTGGTTTCAAGAGAACGGCATTTAATACACAGCCTCAAAACATTTTTATTACCGTCAATTTGCTTATAGCCATAGCCAAATGGCAGGATGTACAATCACATGCAGAAGAAAATATTTATTTTGACTCAGAAGGCAAAGGGATTAAGAGAACATTGTATTAACCTTGCCTTTCATCTATGTTTTAAAGGGAAAGTCTCCTGAGGCATCCATTGAAGTTCTATTTTTTAATAAAGAGTATCAAAGGCTTTTAGGAGACCAGGTGTGTGTTTAACTGAGAGGAGGAGAGGAAGGAAAGAAGCTTCACGAGAGAGAAAAGGCAGTTTTCACAAAGCTGCTTCAGAGACTGCAAAAAGATGTATGTGCTGGAATCTGTTACAGGCATTCCTAACAGCCAGCCTCCTTCACCGTCCCCCCACCCCTTTTTTTCTGCTGCTTGGAAACAAAATAGCTTTTTTTCCAAGCAGGTTGTTATCATATTCATGGCATGGTCAATTTCCGTTTGCCAAGAAAATATTTAGGCTGATCAAAGAAATTAGAAAATCCGCTGAATAGAAACAGACGTTCCCACAAGAGAAGCGCTTCTCAATGTGAAGAGGCAGGCGGACTGCAGCCCACCCAGTTACTCCTAGGAAATAAGTCTCCTGCCAAAGGCGGAACTACAAGGCCACCTGGATTCTACTGGAGGGGCTACAGAAGAGTCAAGACTTCACAGGAAATTCAAATAGAGACTGGAGTTTGAGGCGCTCTGGCGGCAGAGGTGGATGGAGATGATCGGCTCTAGTATCTATGTACAAATCAGGAGGGCCTTTAAATATGTCCATGAATCCAGAGCGACCTTTCAAGGCAGAAGATAAGTGAGTCTGGGATCCTTTTGTTTTGCTTTGCCTGGTTTACTACGCTCATGGAAAGGCAAGAACAAATTATCCTGGGTAGATGACAGAGAAGTATGTACTTTTGGAATGGAGGGATGGCTGTTTCACCCGCATTAATACAAGTTCAGTCTTTTTGATGTGTGGATTTGGGTGGAGAATGGTTGATAGTAGTTGTCTTTGGGACCTTATTGGTCTCTGCGTGTGCTCCCCGACCAGTTGGTGATGGTAAATGAGAGGGTCTTCCATCTCTTTGCTGTTCCTGGGCAATGCGCGGCCAAAAGCATTGCCACTTGCTGCGGCGCTTCAACGCGAATGACTGGCTGGGGTCGCGGCTTCCGGCCGCAGATTCCACGAAACCGAGAAGCCAACTCGGCTTCATGAAAGGAGATCCCGATTTCCCCGCTCGCCTCGGGCAAATTGAGGCACCTCATTCGCCAGCGAAGCGTCGCCGTCCTTATCCCAACGCCTCCAGTTTTTGGAGGGAAAAAGTGAGGGAGGGATGGCCCTAAAAGAAGGCGATTATGGAAACAGCTAAAGAAGCCAAAGAAAACTCCCTCCTCGCGAGTGCCGTCCGGGGCTACGTGGCGCTGGCGAAGCCAAGGTGGGCTGAGCGGTCCCCAGGCTTTGGGCCGAGAATCCGCTCCGCTACCCCAGACCCTTCCCGCCGCGCGCTCTTCACTCCGGGGACTCGGCGGAGCAGATTTTCTTTCTTTCTTTTTTTTTTGTTGTTGTTGTTGTTTCGGTTCCTGCCGGCCAGGCGAAAACTCCTTTGCCAGGAAGACAGCGCCCTCTTTCTCCTCCGGCCGCGCCGCCGCCGGCCTGCGCCGGCTCTCCGCTCCACTGACCTCCCCGCGCCTCGTTGTGGTCCCCGCCCTTCAGGCCCCGGCCCCTCTTCCCTCAAGCCCCGACGCCTGTGGGCCCCATGCACCGCCCGAGGGAACAACCCCAGAGAGCGCCGGGCCAGCCCGGCGAGATAGCGCGACCTCTGGCTACAAGCCTGGGCGGAGTCGGCCCCGGCGCAGACGCGGCGCCCAAGAGCTCCCGCACAGCCCGGGGAGGGAGTTTCTGGTGCAGGCGGCGGGGCGACGGGTGAGGCCCAGCTCTGCGAGACCCCGCTCTGCGAGCCAGCGGGCGGGGCCGCCAGCACACCGGGCGGTGAAGCCTCCCCGGCGTCCGCGCGCGGATACTTGGCTGCGCGCGCGCACCTGGCACAGCGAGTTATACTGAGGCTCAGGATCAGTCCGCGAAACGTGGACCCGGGCCTGCACGAGGGTTGATGGGTGAGGGTGGCGGGTGAACTTGAGTAGAGGTAAGGAAAGATCTTACGGCCTTCTTCCTAGTCCTAAAAGCGTCCCTCGCAGCCCGCCTGCTTGCTGGCAGCCTCACCCTGCTGGCTTCCAGGAGGGCTTTGTCAAGCACTGCAGCGGTGTTGGAAACCTTGTTGCAAAGTCCAAGCCTAAGCGAGTGGGCGAGACGCGCAGAGGGGCATGGATGAGTGGGCACCTTCCCAGCACCCTCTACCCAGTATCTCTTTTCCCACTGCTCAGAGGACTGGTGATTCAGACAAACGCCGCTCGGCCCTTTTGGGAACAGAGGCGGTCGAGCTTCTGTCTGCGAAAATCTGGATCCTTTAGAACCCGAGCAATATGCTCGTGTGAGAATGCAAAAACAGATCCCACGGCTTGGGTATGCACCGACTGAGGTACAGGCCTGAAGTGCTCCCATCCCCCGAATTCCTACCCGCTTGTGGGAGCCACAGGGGTAGTTTGCTTCCAGCTGACCCTACTGTACAACACAGGCGGCTCCCAGAAATGCACTAATTGAGTCACAAACCACTGGCCTCCACTAACAAAGCGATCCATCTCAGCAGCTCAGCGCCCAATTTGTCCGCAGCACTTTCTTCCGCAATTCAGAAGCATTATCTTGTTTTAAAAAGTATCACGGCAGAGACGTGGCAATTATCCTGAGCTCGGGTTACACTAAATGGCTTAGGCTGAGAAATGGAAGAATACAAATGCCGCGAACGTGCTGATTGCCTCGCTGCCGAGCCTGGACCGGGGGTAGGGGAGGCGAACTAGAGCTTTCGGCCGGGGAGAAGGGAGGCAGGCGCAAGTTCCCACTTGTGGTCGTCTCCGGGTGGCACCAGCGAGAAAGGAGTGTTGGCCCTTTATCTCTAAAGGCTAAGGATTCCCAGCGACGAATCCCCAAAGGTCGAGGGAGAAGAGGTCATATCCCAACATGACCAGGCCAAGCTTCTGGTCTCAGGGTCTGGGGTTTGGGTCAGGAACAGGTTGGGAACTTCAGGCACTGCTGGGATGAGGAACAGGAGAAAGGTCAAGGGTTAGTGAATGAGATGGGGGCGGGGGGGCGGGACAGAGATTCCAGTTTCTCTTCAGGACACCCACTCTACAATTGGGCAATTGGGGAGGAGGAAGGCATTGGGAGAAAACAACCCGAAGGAAAAAGAAGCTGGCTCTTTGCAATGGGAGAAGGGGTTCACTCCTGAACTAGGGGCAGGCCTGCGCCTGGGCGGACGCTGTAGGGTGGGAACGCTCGATAACTGGAGAGTCCCAGAGACCACCAGGCCTTTCCGCACCAGGAAAAAAAAAAAAAATCTGCTCTGAGAATCTTCATCTCGGTCCACCAGGGTGAGTTTGGGCCTGGAAAATGGGGGAAAGAAAAGAGAGTAGCGAAAGGTTTTCGGGTTGCGGCGCCCCGCGTGCAGACGTCTGCTCTCCCCAGCCGCCCAGCCTGCTGTGGCAGCCACGCTGTGCGCGTGTCTTTATCCTTCAGTTCAAACCAGCCCCCACATCTTGAAGTAATCAGCAGCCGAGAAGAGACTTGTCCCCCTGGCATCTCAGGTTAAAGAAGGAGGTCCAGGAAAATGTGGTAGAGCCATTACAAGAAACCCGAGCCGCAGTCATCAGGGACTCCAATTGCCATCGCATTAGGATTGATTAGAGACCAGCAGTACCGTAATGACCCGGAAAGAGGGGCAGCCGGGGATTATTAATATCAGAATGCGGGGGTGGGGGGGGAGTGGGTGGGCAAAGTGGGTAGGGAGAAGTTTCAAATTACTAGGATTTATATGTAAGTGCAGGTTTACCTGAGGAAACCAGATAGTCAGTGAATCACGCTAACGATAAATCTAATTGCATTTCAAATTTCACGAAGCCTGATTTTTTTGGAGAGTGGAGTAAAACCATCATGAAACCAAGCCAATATCTTAGTTTTTATAAACACATAGTTTTATAAGCTTATTGTAAGAATTCAAGTGAAGAGATGGGGAGGGGTGCTAAATGTCTGCTTTCCTTGTCACTGGGCCTCCTTACCATTTGGACTCCAAATAGCTTGATTTTTCTTCTCGTGGGAGTACATTTTTGAGTCGCTTTGGTTCTTCCCTCCAGGGATATGGGGCAATGGAGTGGACATTTTTTCAGAGCCTGCAGAGGAGTAATAAACCAAAATTTAAGTGAAGCAGTGATACCTGGGTAGTGGTTTTTGTTTTTTGTTTTGTTGAAGACATGAATGATCAGGATCCCAAGGAGATGTGGAGAAGAGTGGTTTGTCTCCTTCCTCCAAATATGAGCCAAAACAAATCAGCCCCTGATGGTCTGGGCTGAAATGCAGCTCACTGGATAATTAACTCCATCTTTCCAGTCCACCCTAACTGTTTATTTAGTGTCACCCTGCATTACCGTCACTAGCACTTTCCTCTGAACAGGAGGAGCTGCAGGCTTTCACCTCCCAAAAGGAAATTCTTTTTAGCTTAGACAGATGTGGTATTCAGGATGTACATAAGTTGAGAAAAAAAAGTTGATTGGAAATTCAATGGAAGATAGCGGTTTTGGAGAGTTTCATTTCATAAACCTGCCCTAAGGAGACATTTTAAAAAACAGGGAATGGGGGGTGGGGCGCAGAGTCCCTTTAATTCTTAAGAATTGTTTCTTGTGACACCTTGGCTCCACTTTCCAGAGAGGTAGTTGGCATCTGATGTTGAGTAGGGTCTTCTAGCTCAAACCTGGCGATTGGTCAGAGCTTTCTCAGAGGGCAATTTGTTAACCCTTTTCTCCCCTAGGTGGCCAATACACCTTTGCCCGCCCTCCGTGCAGGCTACACCATCTATTGCCCGCCCTCCACTCCCTGTGAAAGGTTCTCGCCAAGTAAGGCCTACTACACCGCCCAGACTTGAGGGTCTACTTTCAAGAGAACTTACCTGCGCTGCCTCAGTGGGTGACATAAGCACACTCTGTGAAACCTCACAGCGCCCAGTCCCGGAGAGAAAAAAACGAGCGCCCAGAGCCGAGGGGAAGGGAGAGGGAGGGAAGGAGGAAGAAAGAGGAGGATGAGAAGAGGAAGAGGAAAAACAATGAGAAAGAAGAGAGAGAGATAAGGAGAGAGAATGAGAAACAGGTTCACATACAGACAGAATGAACGAGCGTCCTCTTTCAGATGGAGAAAAGAGTTAGAGACACACTCTGGGAAAGACCTGCCACGGGGACACACGTAGAGGGAGAGAGAGAATAACTCTTCCAAAGACACACACCCCAGCTCTGTTCCCCTCCAGTCTGAGCTCCCTCCCAGTGCTTGACCCTCAGTCGGTCCATCAGTCTGTGTGTGTTTCTCTCTTTCTCCCTTCCCTGACCTCGAGACAATACGGAGATGGTATTTTCGGGAGCCGCGCGGGGCGGCAGGGTTTTCAGCGGCGAGCCAGGCTCACAGCTGGCTCTGTTTGTCCAGGTGTGGGCGGTGGAGGTGGTGGGGGGCGTCAGTCGCCCTGAATCTTGGGCCAGCGCAGCGTTTTCGCACCAAAGAAGTAGGAGGCTCTGCTCTCGAGCTTCCCGCTTCCAGGAGAAAACTTCCTCCCTCCATACATACATAAATACACTTGGGGAAGAGACAAATCTTCATTGTTCAGAAATAAGCTGAGGAGGCCCGCCTGCTCCCCTCAGCCAGGCAGAGCGAGGCAGGGAGGGAGGCGGGGGCCGCGCGGATCCGGTGTCACGTTGCAGATTCCCACTAAAGATAACGAAACGTGATCTATTTTTCAGAACAGCAAGTGGATGGGAAAGAACCTTGACAACACAAAACTCATTTACTAATGGACTGGTTTTGGGTTTCTCTTCTCTGAGTCCGCAAATCTCTCTGCCTGAGCCCCAGGCCTATTCAGACCTCGCGGGGAGCGGCGTCCCCCAGGAGCAGGTGGGCTGCTGCTCCGGCGCCACGCCGGCCATCGGAGCCGGAGTTCCCAAGGGTCGAGGGCACCCGGAGTTTCCGACTAAGCAGAGGAAAAAGAATTTTGGCACTTCAGCCGGATTTGGGGAGTCTCCGCACTGCCCCAGAGCGATGACACGAATTTATTGAAGAAACACCTCTCTATGCCCTCCCTTTCCAAATATTTGTAGGTAGAGTAGAATCCTCACCGTCGTTCTGGATGGTGAAAGAATTCCAAGAAAGCGGCCCGGGAGCCCCTAACTATCTTGCTACAAGCCAGAAGGGAAACAAGTGGGTCCCAGCTAGGGGTGTTTGCATCAAGGCCTGTCAACCCAGCCGAGAAACCCTAGCAACAGCTAATGCTGTCCCACTGAATGCTTTTTCATCGACTAAAGCGCACGCGGCCGTTACCTGCACAGAGGAGGCACTGGAGAGCCGAAACCTGGCATCGGGCGCTCCTTGCCAGCGGTGTTCCCTCCCGAGCCGCGCTGCAGCGAGGGCAGCAGCCGGCTGGCTAGAGTTGCTCATTTCCTTTAAATCTCCAACGCATCTCTGCTTTTCGTGCGATTTGCATTGACAGCAAAGGTTTTATGTTACGAGAACAACTCAAACCTTTCTGTGTGCGATTTAAAATGGATCATTTAGTTTAGGTGGTTTGTAAATTCATGTCATTTTACCTCTTTCAGCGGTTTTCAGTGAAAGGTTCCATTTTGGGAAACCTTATATATCCGAGCCAATAATTAACATTTATAACAATTGGTTCCCCTAACCGAGGGATCGAAATAGCAGGTAGACTCCTTGGTATAAAGCGCATAGCACTTTCCCTTTCCAGTTACGCGATCTATTGGATTAAGCGGGAGGAAAAATGTTGGCCGGCCCAGTCACGGCCTCCGAGGAAGAGCACCTCTTTTCTGCCCGGGTTCCCGCAATCACACCTTCTACACGTCGTCTTCCCAGATGACGGCAATGTAGTACGTCCTGGTTCCTTTTGAAGACAGATAAAAAGAAATGGGCAGGTAGGTCTGGAGGAAGCCGGGAAAAAAAGGTGGTCCTATTTGTGTCTAATTGCCATCTCTGCTGTCATCCTCTGTAAATTTATACCTGCCCTTATTTGTGCAGGCTATGCCTCATTTCCTTATACAAAATTGTTAATTACAAAGCACACCCCATACTCAACATACTGTTTGTCTTTTAAGAGACGTGGTTGTGCTTAAAGACCCTCCCCCCATTGTAATTGTGCGCACTTGCTCCAGACTTTAGGGTATTAACTGATTTTTAGAGCCGGGTTTAAGCCTCCGTTCCGGTCCTCACACAGCTGCCATGTCAATAAGGACTGTTTCAAGCAGAGGCATTCCTTCTGGGAGGGCACTGCAGCTCCTTAAGACTTCATGTGAAACATCATAAGCACTAAAATAAGACAGTGAGGGGAAATTACCAGACATGGCTCTGGGTTTAGCAGTGCCAGGCTTCCAGTTTAGAAAGTCATTGGGCATACTATATGGCAGAGGCTCTTTTGAAAGCATGCACACCTATTAAATGCATTTTTTTAAAAAAAAAGCCTAAGGTAATGAAATATCAGCATCTGCTTCCAAGATCTAATTGCATGGAATAAGCAAGAGTTTCAAGGATGCAGAAAACATTATGTTCAGCAGAGAAGCAGCTTCCTGTCTACTTGGAATCTCCCATGTGGCAGCCCTGAGGTGGGAACCCTTTATGAGTTTAGAATGTATGTTGCAGGGTGCACTGTACTGGGTGCATCATTTTAAAACCATATTAATAATAAAAGAGGAAACCAAGACATGCTTCTCCTTCTCCCACTTGCATCTCAATATGCAAAAGGTTCTGTAGTGCTGGGCTCTTTGGCTAAAGGAATCAAAACATATTTGAAGAAGACAAGCCAGTTTAAGGAGCCTACAGTTTGTTCTTCACCACTCACTAAGAGGGCACATTGAAATCAAAAGCATTTTTGAAGTGTACTTAGAATTCTGTTTTGAACTTATCTAATCAGAGATAAGTATAGTCATAAAGTCACTCTCCTTCCACCATTTGGCTTCCCTTATCTCCACGCATTGTTCTTATCTCCTGCTAGTCTCAGCTACTGACAATAGATTATCTTTGTTTAGAGAGGCTAATTGTTTTCAAAATCCTTTTAATTATTGCTTTGGAACTAGGTGTGCAAATGAGGCTTAAGATAATTACAACTTCACTTGTTTGTGCAGTTTTACTAAGCATTCTCCACACATAAACAAAACAGCAGATGATGGGACTTAAATTGCAGTGCATCTCTCATTCCCTGGCAGCAAAATAGGCCAGCATTGCAACACACACACACACACACATACACACACACACACACACACACACACCTCTTTATTTAATCTTCTTGGAGCCGCTGTCGTTCTCGCTTTGAGGGCAGTGTCCCTCTCAGAGCAGGGTAAGGATTATATTACAACCGGACGGTTATTGGAGCCGGGCACAGTTTTATTTAATTTACACCACATCCAGCGCCTTTCGTACGAGGTTCCCAAAGCATTTTTGCTAATAGCAAGTAAAGCCTCTCGGCATTCCTCAGTAGCAGAGGTGGCACTGCAAAACACAACCGCACAGATGGGGAAATTGAGTCCAGAAGCTTCAGGAACCTGCTGGTTTCAATCGCAGAACATTAAGATACCAAATCACAAATGAACGCTCGGAGTCTCTAGGTGCTCAGCAAGTATGCTCTAAACAGCTCTCTGCCTGGTCTCAAATCATGGAGGTCTTTTGTGAACGAGGGAAACGCTGTCCGACTGGGAGTACTTGTGCCCTTTGGAGGGTGGTGTGCAGCAGTGGGGGGAGGACAGTGGTAGTTGGTGGGGGGAGGGAGGAGGAAATAGGGTTGGACTCCTCGAGCTGAAGCCAACCCGAAGCCACTCTTCCAGAGGCTGCATGCGCGGACCCTGGTCTGCTCTTGAATTATTTATCGCGTTCCATAAGCTATTCATCAATCCATTATTTATTCATTCCAACATTAAAGTAATTAAATATGAGCTCACCGGGAGAGGGCAAGTCTGCAAGGGATGAGGACAAGAGTACGGAGGGAGAGGGGAGGAATTAAGGTTTGGAGTCATTGATTTGTGCGGAGTTGTGCGCGACTCCCCTTAGGTGATACTGGCGACGGGTCCCGCGTTGCAGGGTCCTGACGCGCTCACCCACTCCCTACCTCCCCACACCTCCGCAGCGCAGCTCCCTCAGACCCCAACTGGCTTCCCACCTTTCCTCTTCCTTCTCCTCCCACCACTCCCTACCCGCGCAGCCCCGGCAACACCCCCAACCCCCAGCTCCGCAGCCTCGCCCTCCCCGCTCTGGGCGGTGCGGCCTCTCTGCCCAGCCGGGCGGCGCGCTGGCTGGCCAGCCCCGGATAGGCGCCGCCGGCAGCCAATCAGCGTGCCGGGGACGCTGCGCGCTTTAAGGCCGCTGCGGGGAGAACAGAAACCAAGTTCCCCGGCAACTAGCAGCATCCACCGGGCGGGAGGTCGGAGGCAGCAAGGCCTTAAAGGCTACTGAGTGCGCCGGCCGTTCCGTGTCCAGAACCTCCCCTACTCCTCCGCCTTCTCTTCCTTGGCCGCCCACCGCCAAGTTCCGACTCCGGTTTTCGCCTTTGCAAAGCCTAAGGAGGAGGTTAGGAACAGCCGCGCCCCCCTCCCTGCGGCCGCCGCCCCCTGCCTCTCGGCTCTGCTCCCTGCCGCGTGCGCCTGGGCCGTGCGCCCCGGCAGGCCCCAGCCATGTCGATGCTGCCGTCGTTTGGCTTTACGCAGGAGCAAGTGGCGTGCGTGTGCGAGGTTCTGCAGCAAGGCGGAAACCTGGAGCGCCTGGGCAGGTTCCTGTGGTCACTGCCCGCCTGCGACCACCTGCACAAGAACGAGAGCGTACTCAAGGCCAAGGCGGTGGTCGCCTTCCACCGCGGCAACTTCCGTGAGCTCTACAAGATCCTGGAGAGCCACCAGTTCTCGCCTCACAACCACCCCAAACTGCAGCAACTGTGGCTGAAGGCGCATTACGTGGAGGCCGAGAAGCTGCGCGGCCGACCCCTGGGCGCCGTGGGCAAATATCGGGTGCGCCGAAAATTTCCACTGCCGCGCACCATCTGGGACGGCGAGGAGACCAGCTACTGCTTCAAGGAGAAGTCGAGGGGTGTCCTGCGGGAGTGGTACGCGCACAATCCCTACCCATCGCCGCGTGAGAAGCGGGAGCTGGCCGAGGCCACCGGCCTCACCACCACCCAGGTCAGCAACTGGTTTAAGAACCGGAGGCAAAGAGACCGGGCCGCGGAGGCCAAGGAAAGGTACGCGGCGTGCTTCCCGCGACTCGGGCGACCCTAGGAAGCCGTCCTTTCTCCTCCGCCCCCTCCCGCCCCCGCAGGCACCAGCCACCAAGTCCTCCCCGCCGGCCGGAGCCCGTCCACGGGGCGGCGCGCAGGCCCTCCGCGGCGCTGCAGCGAAAGTTCATGAACTCTGAGGTTCCTTGCTAAGGATGGGGCCTCATTTGCTTTGAGCACCCGCGCGTGGGTTTCTCTGGGATGTGAGTGTCGGGAAATATTGGCGCTAGATTTGGTCTTTATGCCTCCCTGGCTGGCCGCGGCTATGAGTGGTGGGTGGAGAGTGAGTTTCTAAATCAACGGGCAGTGAAATGTTGATTGGTGTCGCAAGGAAAGGGGTTTGGTGGGAGCTGAGGTTCGCGAACCTCTCTCCTCTTGCTCCCCAGAGGGGTGAAGCTGGCCTGAGACATTGGCTCTGCCCCCACTCCCGCCTGGTTCTCCACAGCTCTCTCTTGATAGTCTTTTGGTTTAGAGGTAGCCTGCTTCATTTCTCACTAGCTGGACAAATGGAGGAGACTTTTAAAGATACAACAAAAAGAGAGCTTTGGGGAGAGTTGGCGCTGCATTTACTCCCCGGCGCCCCAAATTAAGAAAGGGTTGATCCTCGCCGTGCTCGCTCGCGCGTGGCCCGGCACTGCAGCCCGTCGGTCTGGCTGACCGCGCCGCATGCCCAGACGAGGAAAGGGTCTCCAGTCGCAGCCCTCTCTCGCACTGGAGCTCACAAGGCAATATTTTAAAAATTGGTCTCTACTTTCCCCCACCTCGGGGCAACACCTTCGGCCACCTGGGCAGGCTCCTTCTGTTCTCTATAGCGTTTCGGACAGAGATTCAGAAGGACGGTGGGGAGGTGGCTGTGGCGGGGAGAGCGCTCCGCGAAGCCAAAGAGTTTGGGGGAAAACCTGAGCGCAGGGGCCGGTTAGGTTTTCCTTTGTTCGCTTCCAAGACTAGGGGCCGAAGATCTTGCTCCCTTTCTTGTCTTGGTGGAAAACCAGAGCCAGGATAAATTCTGCTGAAATGGGCTTGTCGGGAGACAGAGACTGTGAGGATAAGGGGAAAGAAAGGAGACAGACAGGCGCTAGGAGTCGGGAGGACTGACGAGCACTCGGAAGGCGGAAGCGGCGAGGGAAGCGAAATCCTGAAGTTAACCGGTACCGAGTGCCCGGACTGACGCCCCAGCGCGCCGCGCCCGCTGGCAGCCTGTGCGGGGCGGCGAAGTTTCCCCTGCCCAGAAAGGATGGGTTGGGGTGGGTGTTGGTAGGAAGTTTGAGAGGGGGACACGAGGGGCTGAAGAGTTAGCAAGTAACACAGGAACAGGGATTGTATGGTTGCAGTTAGCCTTTAGTTACAAAACGGCCGTCCTATAAGCCAGGCCCGAGGGCCGACTCCAGATGAAATCAGAGACTGGCTGCGCTCCCTGTGTTTACTCAGGTCACTGGGCCGCGCTGGGCACCACTTCCCATGACCTGTTCTGTGTCTGCAAAACCACCAACTCTGGGCTGGGGCAGGAAAACGGGATGTTTAATTGTCTCCTCATATGCGAACAAGGCAATGGACTTGATTCACCCCAAACATTTGTGCATTGGACTCTGTCCTCTATCATTTCTTTATCACCAATATCTATTTATTGAAAGATTTTCAGTTACATTTAAATATGTTGCTAGTTTATATGTATTTAAATGTAACTGCTTGAACAAAATTTAAAACATATATTTTGTATGTTTCAAATAAATCCTGCTAATCTATCACTTTCTGAAATCTGGAAGAGAAAAGGACCTGGCTCCTAACAGGAGGCTCTGTCCGTAGCTCTCCATTTCTCCAGGTTCCTCTGACTCCTCACCTCCCCCATTACCCTTGGGGATGGGTGGAAGGGTAGAGCTCCTCCATTTGGGTTGGTGACAGATTGCACAATGGCCCTTTCCTCCTTCCAGCTCCCCTCCCTCCATCTCACACTTTTTTTTTAACCTACTTTTTTTTTTTTTTTTTTTTTTTAACCATATGGTGTTGTCCTCTATTTCTTAGGGAGAACACCGAAAACAATAACTCCTCCTCCAACAAGCAGAACCAACTCTCTCCTCTGGAAGGGGGCAAGCCGCTCATGTCCAGCTCAGAAGAGGAATTCTCACCTCCCCAAAGTCCAGACCAGAACTCGGTCCTTCTGCTGCAGGGCAATATGGGCCACGCCAGGAGCTCAAACTATTCTCTCCCGGGCTTAACAGCCTCGCAGCCCAGTCACGGCCTGCAGACCCACCAGCATCAGCTCCAAGACTCTCTGCTCGGCCCCCTCACCTCCAGTCTGGTGGACTTGGGGTCCTAAGTGGGGAGGGACTGGGGCCTCGAAGGGATTCCTGGAGCAGCAACCACTGCAGCGACTAGGGACACTTGTAAATAGAAATCAGGAACATTTTTGCAGCTTGTTTCTGGAGTTGTTTGCGCATAAAGGAATGGTGGACTTTCACAAATATCTTTTTAAAAATCAAAACCAACAGCGATCTCAAGCTTAATCTCCTCTTCTCTCCAACTCTTTCCACTTTTGCATTTTCCTTCCCAATGCAGAGATCAGGGAAAAAAAAAAAAAAAAACCCAAACAAACAAAAGCACCCAGGCACCCAGTCTGAGTTCTGGGCAACTGATACGCCTGTTTCAGCAGCCTTTCTTTTTTTTCAATGAATGGGAATTGCAAATCAACTGGATTTTCATTATTTCCTTTTAATTTATATATGGAGAAATGTGAAGAGGGAAAGGAAATGGAAAGAGAAAGAGAAAGGGAGATAAAAATAGTGAAAATAAGAGCCTCCAGGCTCAGAAGAACTGATTACATTCTTAAGGTGAACAGGAAAAATACAATCTATAACTTTCTTTGATGAGGAAAAATTAAGTTTACATTTTTCATATTTAGTGTTAAACAATTTAATGTAGATTAAAATAAAAGACCAGTATTAGGAGGAAAAAACAAGTGCCTAAATGTCTTAATGCTCTCTATGTGAGACAGAAATAGACGTGACCATTAGTAATGCAACTATTTTTGTCAAATTTAGTGGGATTTTTTGGTTGTTGTTTGTTTTCTTGGGTTTTTTTTTTTTAAATGACAAACTCTAAAAATGTACCAATGTGAAAAAACACTTTCCTGAATGCCATTACTCATGCCCTCAAAGCTTTCATATCTGTAGCCTACTCCTGTAAAGGGTTTCTCCTGTTTCTAGTTTCTAGTTTGCAAAGGTATGCCAACGAATCTGGCAACCTGGTATTTGTTACTAAAACAGCATGTGTTTTCAGGTTTCTTTTCTATTGTACCTAAAGCAGTCTAAATTAAAACTTAGTAGAACACCAGGAGTATGATTCTGTTTCTGAAAGGTGAGTGGTGTATTGCTGTCATTGGGCCCTATTTTTTTTTTTAAATATATTTTTCTTTCTTACTTAATGGTGGCTGTGAATTGCAGGGTACTTTGAAGGCCATCATCTGAACCAAGAGTAGTAACTAGATTAATTATATGACAGAAAGAGTGAATTTAGCCTTGGGGTATTTATTAACTTCTATTATTTAGATATGCAATTTTGTTTACCACTATCTCTTCACAGCATTCATATGTTAACTAAGCTCTTTTGTGTTAACAAGTTTATGACAAGACTGTGAAAGTAAAAATAATTTATCTGCTTGAAGACAAAAAAGGGAAGGAGAACAAGGATAGAAACATTGTGAATTAATTTGTACAAATAGAAAGCAGACCAGCAGGACAGGAGCTCTTTTGCAGTGCTGCCGGATGGTGTCTAGAAAAATCCCAGTAATCATGTAGGCTCCATATTATTTTTGCCTGGGGCAAAATGATGTATCTTCTGTATTTAGCTTTTAAAATTAGTGAAACAAATGGCATTATTTATTAAAATTCTACTCAGGATAACAGGATTGGCTTGCTTGTGCTTTGTAAAATATTGTTCCCCAGGGAGAATCTATTTATTTTCTGACATGACAGTTTCATAATTTTGATTTTTTCCCATCTATAATTGTCACCATTAATATATTATTTCTTTCTTACTCTTTCCTATTTCTGTTCTGGTCTAGAAAACTGAGGTGTGCTTGGGGAAATCAAGGCCTTATTTTTTAAAACTGTCAAATAGCTTTGAGTTCCAGGGAGAAATGGTCACTGTACTTAACTGTACACACTTTTACTTATAAAGTCGTTTTTCCCCCTCAGTGATGGACAGATGTGCACACAGCCACTCAGAGACCATCATTTGGTTTGGGAGCTCAGGGTCCCAATCTCCCTTGTTAGTGTTTTGGATCATTAAGTCGGTGTTTATTTAAGTCACTAGGGTGTTTATTCTCCCTGTCTTGGGCCACGGAGAAATGCCACCCTCTGCAGGAGGGGCTCTCACAGGGAATCTCCTCACATTCTTCACATTCACTCCCCAAAACAAACACCCTGCACAAAGATAGCTTTCAATGACCCTGACAGGCTTCAAAGGACGCTGCGGAAATCTCTCTGGAAAATAGGAAGGGCCAATTACTTTAATTTCTTACATGCCGTCTCTTCCTACTCCGGTGACTACCCTCCACTCTCCCAGCTCCGCCTGGGATAATTTTAGGCTCGTGGAAGTTGTGTCTCGCAGGGCGCCCCGGCCCACTTCCTGCTCCCTTAGTTGGTGAATCTTGGAAATGTCTGCAGATCCGGCGAGGAGCAAGAGCGCTGGTCCTGTAAAAGCCCCCGTGATTACTGCTTGTAAACTTGTTAAAAGGACAATTTTCTGTCACAGTCATAAACTCTTTGTAAAACCCCTGGCACTAAATCCAGAGCGCGCATATTCCAGATGTGTTTAATAAGAAATTGCACAATGTGCCTCCTTCCGCCATCCTCGGCTCAGTCTGGGTAAAAGGGGCGAGCAGGAGGAGGCGAGAAAGCTGGATATTGCTTTGAGTTTTTTTGGCAATCATTTCAGAGAGATCATTAGGGGAAACTAACCATATTTTTTTCTTCCCTCGAGGAAATCTTCGAGAACCAGCTGTTAAGGGACCTCCAGTTTACCTTCTGGGCGTCGCAGTTTAACTGAATCTAAAGCCACTTTTCGTTTCTCCTCTACAGATGTCATAACGGTAGCCAAAAGTAATGAACAACGGCTTATAAATAGTTTGTAGGACGAAACCATACAGCATTGTGCCAAGTGAAATGAAAAAAAAAAAAAACACTCGAGTGATGTTTATTTTTTAACGTTTTAAACCTAAACACGCGATTGTTCGAGTCCCCACTCTCTGCTCGCCTTGACCTCTTGGCTGAAAACGAAGCTTCCTAAATTCTCAGAGGCCAAGGGGTTTGGCTCCCGGTTCCCGAATTTTTGGCTTAGTGGGTAGGGGCTCAAGAGCCCAGCGAGCTACAGGGACGGAGAAGGGCACCGCTGGGGCTGGGCACCACCGTTCTTGAACCTGTTCTCTGGGCTAGGACAGCGTGGCTGGGGCCGGACCCCGGGCCGGAGTGGAAGCTTCCAGAAAGAAGCAGTGGCGTTGGCACTTATGGATGAGCTCTGAGTTTGCTGAGCAGCGACCCTTATTAGCGGCTCTCCCTTGTCCGCTGAGGGCCAACGGGACACCTGGCACAGAACTCGCGCGGAGCGGGCCTTCCTCTGCTCTGTGGCAGTGGCACTGCTGCTGCTGCACCGAACGCGGCGGCGGCTGAGGCTGGAGGGGGCTTCATTTCCTACTGCCTCCCCACCGCCTGCAAGTCTTTGGCAAAGTCCGAAGGCAGGACTCCAGGTTGTGGATCCAATAGAGGCTTGTATCCCGCACTTCTCTAGCGGCAGAAGAACTGAAGATCTTTTCCTGTCATCCGCGCACTTCGGAGGCTGTTCTTGCCATTGGGCCCTGGAGAGGCGCGGGAAGCTCGGGCGCCGCTGTCCTCGCTCCGCGCGGGGCAGAGCCTCCTCTCCACCGGTTCAGAGAGAATCGCGCGCATCTCAAGACCCGGATCATAGCGCAGCTCCAGGAGCAGGGGGCCTAGTGGCCCGGCCCGCGGAGTGCCTGAGAGGAGAGGCTGCCAGTATGGATTCGAAGGCCAGACAAGGGAGGAGGCCTCGGCCTGAGCTTCGTGGTACAACTCAGCTGTCGTCGCCTTGGGTACCCCGAAGCCAACTCCCAGGCCCAAGTCTCAGTCGCCCTCTTCGGAGTCTGAGAGCTAAGCTCCAGGCGAGGCACGTGAGCGGCGCTGGACACCCGGCTGCCGGGCTGGTCCCCGCCCTGTGGCGGCAGGATAAAGCCGCCCTGGCAGCGCGTTGCGCCTCCTGCCCGACCGCAGGTGTGAGCGCTCCCTGCCTCCCAGGCCCCGCGCTTCCCGCACAGGGCAGATGGCGCAGGCCTTGGATCCTGGTTCGGAGGCGGCCTAGGCCCTGCTGCCGATTCTCCAGTGCCCTTCTTGCTTCAGACACCTCCTGTCTCCTTCTTCGCTTCCTGGGGTCTTGGCTTTGGTTTTCGGACCCAAACTCTTCACCCGCGCGCTCTGAGGAGGGGTGCCAGGTAGAGAGGACGTCACTTTCTGGGCTTGTCGCTAGAACTTCCCGCGGCAGAGAGAGGGGCCCTGGCTTCTAGTGTCTCCAGCAGAACTGGGGGTGGAGGAGCTCCACTTTCTTGGTGGGGCCAGGTCAGGTATTTCCTTCTTAGCCAGCGGCCCTAGGGAGAGCAGCGGCCTTGTCCCCCACGCACAGCCCTGGCCCCAAGGGGAAGGCACCAGCCTAGGTCTGCAGCGCGCTTCGGGTCAGGCTGTCGCGGCTCACCTTCTGCCCTGATTTGTTAGGGTGGCGTTGACAGGGACAGGTGGGTTAGGTTTAAGGTGAGGGTGGTCGCTGGTAGCCCACGTGCTCTCTCCGCTCCATTTCTCTTTTTTCCAAGCTTTCCCTTGGAGGGGACTCTAAAAACTCTCGGAGACTACCTCCTTCAGCTGCCCGAAGCCAGCGCACTAGTGTGTGTCCCCACCGCGCCCCCATGGACAATTCACACTGAGGGACCCGAAGGCTCAGTCTCATCGCCTGCACGCGTGTTCCGCGACCTTAGCCAGGTAGGCACTTCTGAGCCTCTTAAGGGCATAGTGGCCCCTCCCCCATTCTGACCGAATCCAATAATTCCACCTGGAAGAATATCTAAAGGGGTTGAGTTAGATACGAGTGGTGTGAGCCAGCCAGGAACAAAAATAGCCAAAATCATAGGCGAGTTGTTGGCTATTGGTCTACCCAGAAAAAGCGCTGCCCTGGAAAGGCTGCATTTTCTCTAATATTTTAAACCAAGTACTCACACACACAACTTGGGTCCAGCTGATGAAATTGGAAACCTGTTCTCCCACTGAGGATGACAATCAGGGTTTTAGACGCTGTGGTCCTTTCAGACAGCGAGAAACAACACTGCAGTAGCGTTTAAAAACAAAGAGAAAGAGACTGCTTGAGGCGCGTGGACGCCTGTCTCTTCTCCAATGGAGTTTAAGTTTCTCGCCTTTTAACTTGTTAATGGACAGCTGAGACCCCAGTTCTCAGCAGATAGAGTCCAACCCATCACCTTAAGGTTTGCTCCCTCCCGCTTTGCTACCTGAGAATCTTCCCTCCTCCCCTCTCCTTTCGGGAGAGTGCTCACTGTTTTCCTTTGCCATATGTTAAATATTCTTGAAATAACATTCTTTTTTTTTGTGATTAAACAGAAAAATGCAGGAACAAGCAAAAACCTAAAACCCAAAACTCAAACAATCTTATCTTGGAAAGAGAAAACAGTTACCTTCAGATTTAACACATACTTAAGCTTACCTGAAGTGGCTACCCAACTGTAATTAAAGTATGGTTAGGTGATATTGGGTACTCTCCCTTCTTTACTGCCATTAGTGGTTGCCATTAAAAAGATAAATAAGTAGACAGAGAGACTCTGGCTCTTTGCTTACTATAATAAGGCATGGAAATTAGTTACTATAATAAGGCATGGAAATGTATACCACCTCCCTTCATCTGGTCCCGTCCTTTCCATGCTAACTTAGAAGATCAGTGTTTTATGAGACTGACATAAGTAGACCCAAGTAGAAACACTCGTGGATTAACACAAGGCAAATTTACTTTAAGTTTCTATATAATTTATTTTAATTAGTGATTTAAAATTGATTATTGGTTTTAAAATGCCATGGCTTATTTACAGTAGAAACATTCTTTGGTGGTGGGGGGAGGGGAGCAGTGGGGGGTTGGTGGTGGTTTAAGACCTGAGCTGATATGCATGTGGGATATTAAAGGGGGGAAAAAACAGTCTAGACTACATATTTTTACTGACATAAGCCATTAAGTGTCAGGATTCTTAAAGAATATTGAAATGTTAAAGAACATTTCATAGACATCCTTGATAGAAAATCTGCAGATGCCAGCCAGGATGCCTGTAAAATCAACCTTCTAGATGTTCTTTTCTTGTTATTAAGTGTTTTTACAAACTTAACTACTCTCCTTTTTTTCCCCCTCAAGGAAAAACTTTAGTTGCTTTGCAATAATTCAGTTTTAATTTGAGTTGCCAGTTTTCCAAATAGTCTAAATACCAGGAAAAGACAATGGGATTGTGAACACCTCCTTACCTCTTCCCTTCCACCCCCCAAAAGAGCCAACAAACCAAACCAAACCCACGTAATTGTGACATTTTGTGTTGGCCTTCACACAGCTATTATATTAAACTCTGTATGCAGTCATATTCCTCTTAACTTTTGCAGCACTTTTGCCTGTGATAGTGGTGGGGACTGGTAGTGGTGGGGACTTGGTGGAGTGCTTGTAGAGAAAATGCACATGTATGAGGGTGAGATGGCAGCCTGCAATACTTTACAAAAGGTAATTTTACCTTTAAATCAAGGAGGTAGTTACAAGGAAGACAGCATTAGCTCTGTATTTATTTAAAATGCCTTGGAGATGAAAGTAGGTAACAAGCTTTTTAAAAAATTAAGCTCGATAGAAGATCAACATGCCTTAGTATCTATGAAGTGAAAAGAACATTTAAACAATTGAAGCTTTGTCTTCAGATATGTGTGGTGAATATTTTCTATGCATTGCAGATGTTATATAAACATAACATGCTTCCTCCTAAAGTCAAGTTCTTGATTTTAATTGAAGAATAATATTGCTCAGGGCTCTACCTCTGAGTACAAATAGCTAATCTAAGAAAATCAGCTCTGGGAATCTGGAACCAATGGCTATTTTAAAAATAAACAGACAAAATCTTCATGAAGAGGACCAGGAGGATTATTTTACATACAGTATATCTCCTGATTCCTCTCTCTGTCTGTCTGTCTGTCTCTCTCTCTCTCTCTCTCACACACACACACACACATGCACACAAAACTTTTATGGAAGAACTGAAAGGCAGAATGACAATACTGGCCCCTTACCATATTTCTACTTAAAAAAAAAAAAAAAATCAGTCTGGTTGAAGATTCCCAAGCCATCTTGCCTAACTTTTCCAGTATCAATATATCTTAGAAGCAAGTCCAGATGAATTTCCTCTTTTTCTTTCTTTCTTTCTATTTTCTAGGGAAGGGAAAGAGATGTAAAAAAGGGAAAAGTAGAACTAAACAAAATAAAGATACACTTTGAAATTTGTATTGTAATATTTAATAAGTAGCCATTAAACAGTATCTACAAAAACAACGCCAGTATGCTGAACTTTCTTAGTTCAACTAAGGCAAGAAGTAATTTTTTTAAAAAAAACTGTTAGGATTAAGTTAGAATTGAAATGAATGGGGAGATTTCAAAAGCATTTGGATTTTCTAACACAGAAGCCAACATGGATGCTCAACATGATTGACTTAGGGAAGAGGCTGGGGGAAGCAAAACACTAATTTACAGAAATTTCTTAGAAATTCCTGTTGGAGTAGAGATTTTCTGTTTTAGTAGGATCAAGCCCAACTGCATTGACACCCAGCCAAGAAGGAGATGTTGAAATCTACCTGAGTTCAGGGACCACACCTGGGGCTCCATCCAGTAGTAGGACCAGGTAACATGAGAATGCCTCATTCTCTACCAGTTTCCCCAAGTTCTAAATCCTACCAAGATGAGAATCCCACAAACTAAGAAATTGCAAGGTAGGGCGGGATGTAAGATGTTCCTTCCAACTCCCATTTTGTCATTTGGTGAGAAACGTGTGTGTTTTAGTTATTTTCTAAAACCGTATTTTTAATTCCCCTGGGTGACAAGAAAGAGTTAATTTGTTTGCTGATAGGTTTCGCACTGTGGGCAGGTCTGCCAAAAAGGAGAGGAAACAGAGAACAGTCCTATGATTAATTCTACCTGTTTTTCCCATGAGCGATCACCTGCTCCAGGGGTCATGAATAGCAGGTAGCTCTCCCTCTCCTGGGCTCTGAGAGCTTCGTTTGTTTGGTGACAGCTGAGTGACAAGGCCTGAAACTCGAGCCCATCGCCCGGCCTGATGTGGGGATAAAAACCCTGGATGTTCCCTCAAACATTTCAGGAAATGAAAGTTGTAACGCGATCCCTCCTGCGCCCACATCTCCCCCAGCAAACACAAAAGCTCAAAGGAGCCTTCTCGGATTGAATTCGGCTTGGAGTTGATGGAGGGAAAGCGGAGCCCAGCACAGGCTGGGGGGAGGGCTGGGGCCGCGGCTGGAAGGCTTTCTGAGCCCGAGAAGGAGGAGGAGGAGAGCTGGGAGAGAGCCGGGCGCGTGAGGCCTGGGCCCCCCTCCGGGCCAGTTTCGCCGCCGCATCCCAGGCGCCCTGCTCCTCCAGACAGCGTGGGCAGCTGCCGCCGCCACGTTAAATCGTGTCTTTAGGGTCAACCCGGAGTGGGAAGGAAAAGCCGCTGCCTCCGGCCCTGCGTCGACCCCTGCAGGCTAGCGCGGCCTCTGCTCTAGGGGCTTGGGCCGCGCGGCCTCCAGGCCATGAGGGCCCAGAGGCCCCCGAGGGCCTCAGCGGAGGCCCAGCCCAGCCTTTGCGGCCCCTACTTGCCCGCTTGGAGGCTCCAGGACTCCAGGCCAGCTCTTAGGAGAGGCGTCCCTTCCGATCGGGCCCCGCGGGCTGGCTCAGGATGACTGCGCACAGCTCCGGCGTCCACAGCTGCAGGGGTCCGGGGTGCAACCGCCTAGGGCGCAAGGGCCTCACTCAGCTCCCTCGCGCTCGGCAGCCCCCATCAGTCAGCAGCTTCCATCTGCCAGGGGGCCTCGCCGGCACTGGGGGGTAGGGGTGGAGGAAGCTCCCAGTGGGCGGCTGAAGATGGTGTGGGGGGTGAGGGTCATGGGAGAAGGGGAGCTGAGAAGTTGGCGCTCCGACCCCCACGCGGCCATCTCTGCGTGGGCCGTAGGCGCCTGCCAATCACCACGCCTGATGCAGGCGCAGCCTAGCCGTAGATAGGAGGAAGTATACCCAGGACCCCTCAAGGCGAGTTTTCCCCCTTAACCCAAACAGCTGCGACTGGTTTGTTTTGTTACAGAATTTTCTTTTTAAATTTCCCCTTGTGTTCAGAAATCTTTCTCAGACAACATTATCAACCCCCATCTCTCTCCTCAACCTTCACGGATGATTGTTTTTTCTTTCTTAAACGTACAAACACATTGTGGAGAGAATTGATGGGGCAATGTCACAGATGCATCGCTGGCACACACAAATTGCATTGGTTTGAGTCAAGTTAACATCTCTGAGCCTCGATTTCCTCTTCGGGAAAATAGGAACTACAATATTTAGACTGCAAGGGAAGCTTAAAATTAGCCAAAGTCTTGAATGTAAAGTGCTTGGCACTATAGACGTTAAATGAATAGCAGTTATAACATGCTTGGAGCCTCCTTAGACTGCCACAAAGCCGCCTGGGAAAATTCCCGTGATGCTAGAGTTTGTAGTGAGGGCAGATTATGGCCATTTCCTCCTTTTCTGGATCACGAAAAGAAACGCAAGTTATTCTATGAAGACATAGGGCTTGATTAGACTTTGAGGGTAGTCAAAGCTGAAATTTAGTTCTTGAAACTGTGAGTCTGGAATCTAGAAGTTTAACTCCAGTAATTTAATTCCGGAAGAATATTTAAATCTGTAATGCTTGGATTTTGCTATCGCTATTTCTCATGATTTGAACTTTTACGTAAATGTCATTATATATGGTAGAATTCTATTGATAAAAAATAAAACCCACTTAAATGTGACGGAAAATGACAAATTACTTAGAAGAGAACTAAAGCATTTAGCTGAGTAGAGAATTTAAGGCCCCACCTAAATGTGTCAACATAAGTGTAGAATAAGAAACTACTTTTAAGATTTAATGTCTTGCTGATGTTAACACAGTGCTGGATATAATGGCACCTGATAAATATTTTTGAGTAAATGAATGGGCTGCTGAAATGATGGAGAGTCTTTAGATAGAACACATTTCCCAGAGTTGAAATTTTGCAAGACCCTCCTGGGTACATTTCTTCTCTTGTGACACTCTAATGATCACCAGGGATGAATAGCTCATTTTGACATATAATACATCCTTCTCTTATTTCAAGGACTTTCTCATTCAGGTATTATTGAAAGCAAAATGCATAGCTGAAATTTTCTTGGGTAAAAGTGGGAGCGGGGAGAGAGGAACAGGAAGGGGACTGTTTCTCCCTAGAATGATGCAGTGGTAGAACCAGAGAACTATTGGTAGGAGGAACAACCCCAGCACAAGTAGATATGAAACCTAGAGAGTAGGTGGAGTATGCCTGTGGTAGGTGTTTTTAAGGATGGATCCTCATGCACTGCAATCCCTTCACAGTTATTTCACTGTTATTACTACTGGAAAGATTTTTTTTTTTTGACAGGCTCTCACTCTGTTGCTTAGGCTAGAGTGTAGTGGCACGATCATGGCTTGCTGCAGTGGCACAATCACGGCTTGCTGCAGCCTTGAGCTCACAGGCTCAAATGGTCCTCCCACCTCAGCCTCCTAAGTAGCTAGGACTACATGCGTGGCTAATTTTGTTTTTTATTTTTATTTTTTGTAGAGATGAGGTCTTACTATGTTGTCCAGGCTGGTCTTGAACTCCTGGAATCAAGCAATCCTCTGCCTCAGTCTCCCAAAGTGCTGGAATTATAGGCATGAGCCACTGAGCCTGGCCTGGAAAACCATTTTTTATTTAGTTGTTTAACACTACATGTTCTTCCATCATCTTTATTTTCTTCAAAAGTATCCTGGCCAACTAAAAACTGTGTATGTTTAAATTTTAAATTTAGAGAAGTTAATCAATTTGTAGTCAATCACCATATAGGCTCAGAAAGAGTTGAACACTTTTTTTTTGTTTGTTTAAAAAATTCTGGGGTGGGGGGAGGGGGGAGGGATAGCATTAAGAGATATACCTAATGTAAATGACAAGTTAATGGGTGCAGCACACCAACATGGCACATGTATACATATGTAACAAACCTGCACATTGTGCACATGTACCCTAAAACTTAAAGTATAGTAATAATAAAAAAATTCTGGTCTTGAACTCCTGACCTCAGGTAATCCACCCATCTCAGCCTGTAATTCCAGCTACTTGGGAGGCTGAGGCAGGAGAATCGCTTGAACCTGGGAGGCGGAAGTTGCAGTCACCTGAGATCATGCCATTGCACTCCAGCCTGGGCAACAAAAGCAAAACTCCATCTCAAAAAAAAAAAAAAATTATGTATTACACTCACAAATTCCTGGAAGTAGAGCTGGAAACAGCAGATGCATGTTTAATAATTTACCTAAAGACTTGTTATATATTTATACTCTGCTTTATGCCTGCAAAATTATACTTGTTTACACACATATTTTTGGCAAATACATGTTCTAATACTACTTTTATTTGCAAAGCAAAGATTTAAATGTAATCAGTACACAGAAATGGATAGAAGATAAAGTGAAACTTCAGGTCCATCACTTTTAAGAATGTGTCTAATAATCGGAGAAACATTTGGTAGGAACTGTGATTACACTGCAGCTTAATTATTTGCATATTGTGAAATGATTTGCATAATACCAGGGCCAGGAGTTCTAAGAATTATATTTTTCTGCCACAACTTTTAACATGACTAGAATAAAATATGTAGTATTTTTTCTTTTTATATTGTTCCAGCATCCAAATGTTTAGAAACACAAAAATATGTCCATGTGCTCACTCGAAAAAACAAAGAGAAATAAGAAAGAGCACTTTATGCTGAGGAATAAGTAAATTTAAATTAGATTAAACTTTGCAGAGGGTTCTTCGAGGAGGTTTGGGTAGATTCCAAACCTTAGCATATCATTCAAGAAATGAAAGGCCTCAGGGCATTCCAAAAGGCATGTCCGCTCTAAATCAGCTTTAGTTCATTTCAAATAAAAAAATATATGACTGAACTTGAAGGCTGGATAAAGAGGGGAGTCTTATTTCTACTCAGCAGATCTATCATGGTGAAATAAAATAACTGTGGAAATCTAGGCCCTTCAATTGTAGAATTTCTTCAAAGAATTTATATATATAACTGCCGAGATAGTAGTTCCTGTTCAATCACTTAGCCTTCATGAAACTGAAAGACTTGTCAGTATGCTCAGAAGTATGGTAACTCTCTTTCTACTGGAAATTAGTTATAGGTAAAATGAATTAGCCCTCATGGAGTGCTTAGAAGATAACATACTAGACGTTTTCAGCATATTTCATGATGCATAACATTTTATGATTTTAATTATAGGTCAATCTCAGATAGCTGACTGGTCTGTCAACTGTTAAAAATATTTTTTCCTTTTGATTAAAGCCCAAAACAATGGAAAATTAAGTCAACTTCAAATAAAATGTAAAAATTTCAGCTGGGCGCAGCGGCTCATGCCTGTAATCCCAGCACTTTGGGAAGCTGAGGCAGGTGGGTCACCTGAGGTTGGGAGTTCGAGACCAGCCTGGTGAACGTGGTGAAACCCCATCTCTACTAAAATACAAAAATTAGCTGGGCATGGTGGCAGGCGCCTGTAATCCCAGTTACTTGGGAGGCTAAGGCAGGAGAATCACTTGAACCTGGGAGGTGGAGGTTGCAGTGAGTTGAGATTTTGCCATTGCACTCCAGCCTGGGTGACCAGAGTGAAACTCCGTCACAAAAAAAAAAAAAAAAGTAAAAATTTCAACATTAGTTAACTGAGCTAAACAGAGAATGTAATGAAATATCAGCTTCATTTCTCAAAGTTCAACTTTTCAGCATTTTATGGTGGCAAACTTGCTGTAAAAACATGCTCATGAAAAATATTGTAATTTGTGATCTCTTCCCCTTTTTATTATTAGATCATGTATAACTTTAGGACAATGAAGATTTTGATATGGATAACTACCTTAAATAGATAATAAACATAGTAAAACAAAAGTACAAAATCTTTGTGGAGATATAAACAAAACTCACAAACAAGACTTAAGATTGATTTTAATCTTCCATTATATTTTTTATGAACAACACGAGCGATTAAGAAAGACCTATTTTCTTTGCTGGTGTTCTCAGCCATACTTCCCTTGAGAAGTATACCAAAGGAAGTATGGTAATGAGGATTAGGAGAGTCAAATACTGCTAGCCAGTGGGTGAACTGTGGATTGTGTTACCTGCAGGAGTGGAGGCAAAATACCCATAAAATAGCCTTTCAGATTCAGTTTGTCTCAAGTTACATTGTGAAATTCAGTGGTTTGCTGCAGTTGTATACCCGCTGGCTCTGAGAGTTAAACAGAATTGGGGTGGGCCAACCCTTGTACAGAGGACATGCAGGTGGGACCAGAGGTATTGGGGTTTGTGGTTTCCTACGGGAAATGCTTTTGGTGATTTCATGCCTCCCTGGGTAGAGTGGGTAAGAGGCAGCAGGTCCAGAGCCTGATCTGTAGCTCCTTCTTTGTCCACAAGCCAGTTTGTATTGTGAAGGCTAATTTGATGCCAACTATTATTTTTAAGTCCACCATTAGCCCTTTCTGACCCAGTACATCAACTGGTCGAAAGTTGAAGTTACAGTATTTTATCCATTAAGAGAAGAGAATTCTAAGATGCCACATTTCTTAAGAGCTGAGAAATAAAACATCAAGTCCTGACCACACAATTCACCTTAATATTTTTTAGTTCTCTTGGAAGTAGTATCAACGATGCTGGCATCCTGGCTGGAATTCAGATGTAAGACCTGGCGTATGCGCCTTTATGTTCCAGTCATAACTGGAAGTGGTATTTATTCTTTACTTCCTGTTCTAGATTTTAGTGTGGTATCTTTTGTGTGTATGTGGATGGCTGTTAAGCTGATGGCTGAGGAAGCTTTGAAGACTTTCTATTTATTCATATTTTAATTGATTTAACCTCTTAAGATTGAACAAAAAGTTATAATGTTTATAAATACTTTTTATGGAAGAAAAATATAAGCTTGCTTAGTGTAGGTGAATTACTGAGACTATAATACTGATGGCTATTATATGTATACTGTATCTCTTTATGACTACCAGATTGGTAAATTTTTTCAGTAAGAAAAAAATCGATTATTGAGTTTTATAGAAATCAATGGGTTATTAAGATGAAGTACCATCTTAGACAATGTGCATTCACGAATCAGCTTAATGTCAGAAAAAAATTTCTTATCTTGGATCAGCTATTTGGAGACAGTAAACAGAACCAGCAGTGAATTCCTAAGGACCATAGTTTTTGGTAATGTATGTGAAGTGAGAGATTACTGTAACTTACTTATTTTCTCAGCAATTTGACCTATCTAGTAATCTCTCAAAAGCTTGGCTCTTTCTTTTCCCTATATCTTCCTCTTTCACACATTCTCATAACCATGCCAGGTAGATTCTATGCAATTGTCTTTACTAATGGAAATAAACACTATTGAATCATTGACTCATTCATCAACAGTGGGTAATTAATTAAGGCTTGTAGGGGGGAGACATTGGAGTTGGTAATGAAGTTGAATCAAAAGGGGTAAGAAAAAACGTTTTCTCTCTTTTGCTGATAAAGTTGTGCTTATAATTAGCTAAAGATTTGAAAAAGTAAAAATGTAATGCTAGAAGGGATTAGATAATTGAGTGAACTTGTGCTGCCTGGTTGAGCCAAATGCTTTGCATCTAGAAAGCAGACATGTCAGCACAGAGATCTCTTCTAAACTTCTGGCCCCTTTGTTTTCATCAGAAATGAATCCAAATATTTAGATATGCTCTGAGTGTTACAGTTAAATTAGAAATTTTGCCTAGAATGAAATCTCTGGCAAAGTGAAATTGCTGGCCATGTATGTACAAGCAATGATAATAAAAGTAAGGTTGAAAACAGTAAGCATCTCATGAGAATTCCAACTTAGTACTGTCTTTGTTTGTGAATGCAAGGAAAAGAGGTAGTGGAGTGTACCTCTAACTCTTATAGGAACACTTTTCTACCTTGAGAATTTGGCAATAGTTAGAAAACCACCATCGTGAAAGGCCTCTGCCCTCCTGGTAGAATGATTTAATGTGGCTGTCTCAGAAAGAATCTGCTCATGGCCACTGGTTAATTCATAGAGTTGAGGTCACATTTATTTTAAAGAGTTGACCAGTTAAATATAAAGAAAGCTCTCCTTTCTAACAATGAGTAGAGAATTATGGTTAAAAATATTATTCACGAGCAATCCACAAAATGGTTCTTGGGTCAAGTGTAGCGCTAACAGTGAGGATTTGGCCATGGCCTCCAGATACAACTGTATATGGGATAGCCTTATCACCCTGCCTGATCTCTCTTGATAAGATTGTGGAAACTAAAAACCGTCCAGGTAGCCTTGGAGACAAATTGTCCCTGAGAAATGGGAAGTACAATTACCTAGAAAAGCATCATGGTAACATCACATATTTTATAACAAAGGTGTAGGCTGGTTTCATTAAGTTGTATCTAATATATACGTCATTCATGTTTGGGGGAGATAAGTATTTTTATTATAAAAAATTTAGAAAAATGATCTTTGTCTTTAAACTGTGACTCTTTACCTTTGCTAGCATTTTTTTTAATTAAAAAAAAATCCAAACAAAAATACTGCCAGATTACCCCAGGAAGGTGTTAACCATAGTAAATGTTCATAAGGTAATGAGAGCAAGATTTTTATCTAACTACATTCAGTGAATTTATTGGTGTTTAACTCTGTATTAAACCCAGAAAAACAAATCTAATATAAACAGTGTCTTTTTGGAATAATTGTAGTTGTATTGGTTAACAAGTATAAGCATGTGTATAAACTATGGTTACACTTTTTAAACTAGATTCTTCCAAATGCCTAAGGCTGTGCCTATAGAAAACTGGCATCACATTCCCATAAAACAACAACTACTTCAAATGCAGTGAAACTGGCCATTTGCAGTACAGAAAGCATAATGTTTATTGGACTGACTGCTCCAATTTTATAAACAGTTTGTAAATCTAGATTAGGCAGGCAGCTTCAGTCAACCTTTTCCCTCACCCCTTAGTAAATTACAGGTCTGTTAAGGTACACAAAAGCTTTCAGGCCATCAGGGTTCTATTTCTATCTTTTTATGTTTTAAAATTTCTTTCTATATTTTTAGTAGAATCATATCTTAGAGATCTGCTAAAGAGTACACCAGCTGCCTGAATGCCTTACTGTATTCAGCATGTTGGCAAAGATAATTTATTAAGAGTGTAACTTGTACATAATAAATAACATCCTTTATTGCAGTTGTCTAACCTGTGGTTTGTCATCTTCTTGTTAAGAGTTCAGGGTGGCTAGAAAAAAAAACATTTAAGGTTCTAGATAACCCATCAGAACAGGCTGAGTTTACTGCATTGTGGTTGCCTTTTAAGGTTCTTGGCAGAAGTTCACTGCCACCTTTGATGCCCACTCAAAACACCTCAGTATTTATCCTTTAAAAAACATTTTCTGGTGTTATTTCCAGAAGCAGTAATTATGCTCTCAATAAACCCCTTCTAGTCTTGTTCAGAAAGGGTTTAGAGGGGCAAGTATCATTTCGAGTTTAGCACATTAGTTAAACCTCAAGGGGTCTAGGACTTGGGCTAAAATCTGGAAAATATCTCATGGATTTTCAAATTGTCCATACTTTAGATAGGATCAGCTTGTGATGATTTAGAGACTTTGTCTTGGTCAACTTCAGAAGGTAGCATTATCATTCCTTTTTCTTTCTTCCTCCCCTCAACAAGAAAACCTTGACTCTGATGATTTATAAAGAACCTAGACATGTAGTTTTCTTTTCTGAATATTGAATAAATGTCTCTGGAGTGTTCTCAGGTTGCCAGATGTCATCCTGATATTAGAGGCTGACTGTCCTTTGTTTAAAGTTCCCAGGTAAGAGATTTCTAGTAAGACCTGATCCATATGGAGCACCTGAGGAGAGTCTGATCGGTTTTATATTTTTCCAAACTTTTGTTCTTGGACATTCCCCTACTCCTGTTTATTACTGAACCTAATTTCCCTTTGTGTTCTTTATTTTCTCGTCCATAATTCTGTCTAAGTTTTAAGGCATAGATGGCATCTGAGGGAAGATAAATAGAGGAAGAAGATGGGTATCTATCATATGAGAGGGTGCACTTTATTTATCTTTGTATGACCAGTGCCCAGCTCAGTGCCAAATACCTAGATGGTGCTTCATGGATGCTTTTTGAATAGATGAAAGAATGATGTTCAGGAGTATAAGGGACAGTGAGTGATAGGAACATTTCTCCTATTAATGTATTTAAAGGGTAGGCCTAATGCCTAGCAAATAGTAGGTGTTTGAGAAATGATAGCTTAAAACACAGACACACAGAGAAATCTTGGGGGTCAGAAACCTAAAACAATGTAATTTAAATCAATTTACTTTATCCTGATAAATAAGGAATGGGGTTTCATTGAACTATTTTAATATACTGATCCAAAACAATTTCACATATGAATTCCAAGGCAGCTAGAAGAATGGCAAATGCGTGAAATTAACTTGGTGGGTGAACTAGAACCATATCAAGAAATATTTCAAAAATCACACCAATCTTACTAAGGCCACTATTCAGAGAACTTGTCCCTTAATGCCATGGTTCAGCATCACCATTCACTGTGATTTATATGCCTGAACTACATAGTTCACTCAAAGTCATATTGCTGGTACTGTATCAGCCAGGATAAAGACTTGGTTCTGCATTCTATGGTGTGGTCATCTTGGCTCAATATTGGGTGTTTCTGGCTTGCACCAGTCATGTTTCTTCATTAACTTCTAGTTCCTTACCCTCCTCCCTTGAGAAGGATATAGTTTTATGACCATCAAGATATCATATTTTGGTCAGATAGATAAAAGGTCATCTTGACCTGCAAGATGAGTGGGAGGAGACATTTGCTTCGTATGTGTGTTTGGGTCTGGAAGGAGAAATTTTAAAGAGATGGGCTTCTATTGCTGGATGACCATTCTTGTATGTTCTCTCCATAAAAGTGTTAATATGAAATAACACTTTCATATTTCTAGAAGTGTTATTTTATTCTCAGAATTACCCTGGATTTGTCATTTAGAGGCATCATCTCCTACTGGCTAAGCACCCAAGTTTTGGTGTCAGATAGACCTGAGTTCAAATTCCAACTTTGTCACATACTGTCTGTGTGACCCTGAGCAAATAACCTCTATACTACTACTAATAATAAATAGTAGCAGTTGGCTGGGCGTGGTGGCTCACACCTGTAATCCCAGCACTTTGGGAGGCCAAGGCAGGCAGATCACATGAGGTCAGAAGTTCAAGACCAGCCTGGCCATCATGATGAAACCTGGTCTCTACTAAAAATACAAAAATTAACCGGGTGTGGTGGCGTGCACCTGTAATTCTAGCTACTTGGGAGGCTGAGGCATGAGAATCGCTTGATCCTGGGAGGCGGAGATTGCAGTGAACGGAGATCGTGCTATTGCACTCCAACCTGGGTGATGGAGTGAGACTCTGTCTCAAAATAAATAAATAAATAGTAGCAGTAATCCTTGGGTAGTTGTAATAGTAATCACACATTCAAGAGTTACACTTATCATGCTAAGTGCTTTGTAAGGACTTTTTTTTTTTTTTTTTAATGGGACAGAGTCTCTCTCTGTTGCCCAGGCTGGAGTGCAGTGGTGTGATCTCGGCTCACTGCAACCTTCAGCTCCTGGGTTCAAGCGATTCTCCTGCCTCAGCCTCCCAAGTAGCTGGGACTACAGGTGCATGCCACCAAGCTTGGCTAATTTTTATATTTTTAGTAGAGACGGGGTTTCACCATGTTGGCCAGGCTACTCTCGAACTCCTGACCTCGTGTGATCCACCTGCCTCAGCATCCCAAAGTGCTGGGATGACAGGCGTGAGCCACTGTGCCTGACCGGGACTCAACTATAAGACATGTCTATGCTGTTATTCACAGTTTAAAAATGAGATGAGGCTTACATAGATTATGTAACTTGCCTCTGACCTTTATTTTCCTTTTCTGCAAAGTGAAGATAATTGTGCTACCTTCCTCATAAGGTTGCCGTAAAGATTAAATTGCTGTATGTTGCAGGTTTTTGACAGCGTATGACATGTAATAAGTGCTCAGCAAGTGGTAGTGCTAGCTAGTAGTATACCTGGTCTTATACAGCCAATAAGACTTTATTGTATCTCTATTTACTAAAATAATAGGGTGATTGATTTTGCTTCTTCAAGGTGGAGATATATGGATTATTAATAATAATTAGTATGGCCAGGAGAGGTGGCTCACACCCGTATTCCCAGCACTTTGAGAGGCCAAGGCAGGAGCATGGCTTGAGGGGAGTTCAAGACAAGCTTGGGCAATGTAGCAAGACCCCTGTCTCTACAAAAAATTAGCTGTCATGGTGATGCACACCTGTAGCCCTAGCAACTCAGGGGGCTGAGGCAGGAGGATCGCTTGAGCCCAGGAGCCTAAGGTTACAGTGAGTCATGATTGTGCCACTGTACTCTGGCCTGGGAGATAAAGCAAGACCCCATCTCAAAAGAAAAAAAAAATTTGTACATGTGACTCAGTGGTAAATATATTCTAAGCATAGTCTATGGATAATTAAATTTCAACCCTTTTTACAAAACAATTTCTAGACCTTCATGAACTATGACTTGGCAAATGTAGCCACTATTGTTATATTAAGAGACTCTTTAGCAAGGACTGTCTTTATTTATTTCTGCTTAATTCATTCTTATTCAAAATTGGTTTTGGGCCGGGCGCGGTGGCTCACGCCTGTAATCCCAGCACTTTGGGAGGCCGAGGCGGGCGGATCACGAGGTCAGGAGATCGAGACCATCCCGGCTATAACGGTGAAACCCCGTCTCTACTAAAAATACAAAAAATTAGCCGGGCGTAGTGGCGGGCGCCTGTAGTCCCAGCTACTTGGGAGGCTGAGGCAGGAGAATGGCGTGAACCCGGGAGGCGGAGCTTGCAGTGAGCCGAGATCCCGCCACTGCACTCCAGCCTGGGCGACAGAGCGAGACTCCGTCTCAAAAAAAAAAAAAAAAAAAAAATGGTTTTGGCTTGCTTTTTAAACATTCAAATTAGTATGTGAGTCCTTAATCCTATTCCAAATATTGCCAAGGAAAGGGACGACAGAAGTACCTTGGGCCAAATAATGGTGCTCACAAACACATATTTTCAGTATGAAATTTCTCCATTCGCATTACTTCATGCAAAAAAAAAATGACACAAATAGAGTGCCTGCTTATATCCAATGTCAACATTTTTTTTTTTTTTTTTTTTGAGATGGAGTCTCACACTGTCGCTCAGGCTGGAGTGCAGTGGCCCAATCTGGGCTCACTGCAAGCTCTGCCTCCCGGATTCACGCCATTCTCCTGCCTCAGCCTCCCGAGTAGCTGGGACTACAGGCGCCCGCCACCCCGCCCGGCTAATTTTGTGTAGTTTTAGTAGAGACGGGGTTTCACCGTATTAGCCAGGATAGTCTGGATCTCCTGATCTTGTGATCCGCCCGCCTCGGCCTCCCAAAGTGCTGGGATTACAGGCGTGAGCCACTGTGCCCGGCCTCCAATGCCAACATTTAAGAAGACACTAGGAGTGAAATTCACGGTCTTTTACTAAAAAGTCATCTACCTAGTATTTACTGAACTGTAATGAACCAATATTTTGTGAACAAAGATTTCCTTGGCTAGCAGGAAAACGCCTCATAGCCTTGGATGTGAGTGCCACCTGCTGGCCAATGTACAGAAACTCTTTCCTGAACCTTAAACCAAGAATGGTAAATCATTTACAGTTTTCAACGGGAAAGAGCCCAAGTAACACCCCTTTGATTTTAGGTCACAAGGACAGCTGTAATGCCTAATGAGTTATGTGGTCTTTGGATAAGCATGCAGATTTATAAGAAAAACATACTCAGGAAACAAACTCAATGCAAAAATATTCCACTGAGCTATTGTTTATAAGTTTGCCAGTGCCAAGAGTATAGTAAATAGTCCTCTGTTTATATTATGAGCTCACTGAATTTTATACATTGGTGACATAGGCAGTTGGTGGGTGGCTTTTTACCATAGGGAGGCTATATGTATATCTTGCAGAAGGGTAGGAAATTGGGGCCCGTTGGCTGTGATGGCTTTGATGTCAAATATGTGATCTTGTCCTAGAATTTTGGCTTTGGAGCCACAGCCCAGGGTTGGTATTTAGGGGAGAAGTGCCTCTTTGTATCACTTTATTGTAATCAGTTCCTTGGAGGTAACTTGACCTGTGACCTATGGGGCAATTCAGTAGATTGGAACTCATAGCAGCATTGGGGCAACTTGTGATTTTCATTGAGGTCAAGAAGGTAGAAATGACTCTTTAGGATAAATAGATACACGTCTTGATCTATTAGAACTTCTTCTTCTTTTTTTTTTTTTGTTTGAGACAGAGTCTGGCTCTGTCACCCAGGCTGGAGTGCAGTGGCGTGATTTCAGCGCACTGCAACCTCCACCTCCTAGGTTCAAGTGATTCTTGTGCCTCAGCCTCCCGAATAGCTGGGATTACAGGCGTGCATCACCACATCCGGCTAATTTTTGTATTTTTAGTAGAGACGGGGTTCCACCATGTTGGTCAGGCTAGTCTCAAGCTACTGACCTCAAGTGATCCGCCTGCCTTGGCCTCCTAAAATGCTGGGATTACAGGCGTGAGCCACCATGCCTGGAGTTTTTTTTTGTTTGTTTTTTGTTTTTGTTTTTTTTTGTAGACAGTGTTTCGCTGTGTTACCAGGCTGGTCGTGAACTCCTGGCTTCAAGCAATCCTCCTGCCTTGGCCTCCCAAAGTGCTGGGATTACAGGCATGAGCCACTGTGCCCAGCCTCGATCTATTAGAACTTCATGAAGTTTCTATCAGTCTGGCCCTTGAGAAAGACATGAAAATTGCATAGCACACTTTGTATGCTAGCTACCTGGGAGAGGTGGAGAAAGAGGGGCCCTGGGGAAGTGACAGTCATCTATCTAGTCTTCTCCTTGGGTCATTCCTGATCGCTTTTGCAGAAATTTTAAAGTTCCAGGAATTGGTCTGTATATTATCACTGACCCAAGGATTGTCCCTAGTATATTCTTGACATGAGACTGGTTTTCTGCTTTCATGATTTTATAGTAGTTGGTGGTGCGTATCTCTCCTTCCCTGGTTTCCCTTTTACTATCACCGAAAAACATCATACATAATTCACAAGAGTCTGTTGGGATGAAGCAAAAATTCTCTGTTCCAAGGTTGGTTAATTAGTTTTTGTGGCTAAATTTCTAAACCTACAAAATAGGATTCAGGTTTCGAAGGGGCTTAAGGCATATAGAGCTTTCTGTTTTTACTTTTAGTTATATTCAGGTCAGGTACCTCATAACCGAAGGGGGTTAGAATTCACTATTTTTATGAGAAAATGATGGGTGCTTGGTGATATTTTCCCAAAGATTTCTAGTGATGACAATCCATATTGGATAAGACCACTTAATACTTGGCATGCTTATTTTTATCAACACCAATTCAAAGCTAGAATACAGAATGAAGATGTTAATTTTTACACCTACAATGGCACAATCAGCTCATGAGACTAAAGTACTCTGTCCTTGCTAATGACTGCACATTCAGATTTTTGAATTTTCTCTACATGTGTTTCTTGATTTAACCCAGATTTGTGGGCTAGAAACCATGGAGCTACTCTTTATTGGGGGTAAATCCCAGCCTCTTATTTGTCTCTTGGGTTTCTCACAGTGCTATGCCAGTTCTGTGTTTCTTGTACTTTTAGTCTGGGGCAGCATTTGTCAATTCTTGGGTTTCTTTCCTCCAACTCCTTTATGCTATCATACCCAGCCCCCAGCAAGTTTTTTCTTTACTGTGTTTCAAATTATTTGAATTGTTGCTTTAGTTGGTGTAATAGTGTGGTATCACATAGATTTCTATCAGATCTGTAGAATCTTCTTGATGTTACACTGACTGGATTTTAGTGATATTTTCTGCCTTTTCATCACTGGGTTCTCAAAAACTGCTTCTGGGCAGAAATTTGGTTCTAAGCCCATGCACAACAGAAGAGAAATATTAGGGTGATATAGTCATATGCTACAGAACTCACCAGGTTTTGCAAAAATAACTTGAAACAAGACAAGAATGGAAGTACAAATCTCAGTGGGTTCTTAATGTTTCATCACAAAGTTTTGTGGTAAAACCAAGATGAAACCACAAGCTTCACTGTTGGCCAGACCAGCACTGGAAGAACGATTGATTTTAAGGTTAGCCAAGGTCAGGAGGAAACTTGGCTTGTTTTATTCCTATGTACAAACTCCAGACCTACCAAGTTTTGCGTGGTTTGGGGTTTCCAAAACAGAAATCATTTTGGGACCCAGTACAAAACTAAGGCCTGAGGACTAGTGGCAGGGAAAATTCGTTCTGTCTTGGCTTGCATTTCAGCAATGCCAAGGTAAAGGATTTTATCTCCAGAGTTATTAGTCGAACCTTATTTACTTAAATTGTTCTTTGGAAGTTTATGAGAACAAAGAATATCTTTTCTTTCTGTCTCTCTACCCAATGGGAAGTCCAGGATTCTTTTCCCAGAGTCTCCAGACATATCTATAGGCCAGAGGAAGATTTATTTCTTGAAAAATTTCATGGGTATGATTACTGACTCATAGACTATATTCAATTTCTTTGGCTCAATACTTGGGTAACTCTCCAGGGGTGAAAGTAGCAAGATTGCCTTGTCTGAGAGAATTGGACCTAGTCCACAGGTCTGAAAAAAATCACGTTGCTCTTTTGGAAGAAGGATTTGAAGAAAATAAAAGAAACAGTCACGCTCAGAACCTAAGATCAGTCTCTCAGTGGAGTGTAAAAATGTGGCACATGAAAGACTCACTCCCTTGGTAACTTGTGGGCAGCCCAAGCTCTGATTAGGGTATCATGAGTGGACAGTATGAGTCTGGGAGTGACTCTTGTTATGCCAGGACCAAATCTTCTAGAAGGTGATAAAGTTCGTCAAGTCAGTGAGACCTGCTTTCAGCTGCAAATTATAGAAAACCCTTCTATAAGGTTTCACTCTTAGGGGCCATTATTTATTTTTCTCAAAAGGAATTCCAAGGCTGGCAAGGTGGCTTACCAGTGATATCAGAAACCTAGACATTTTTCTTCTTGCCACTCCACTGTCATTCTTCTTTGGTCACCTCAGAATCTCTAGAAGATTGCTAGAGTTCCAGAACTCATGTTTACATTGTAGCAGGAAGAAGGAAAAGGAGTTAAAGGCCAAAGGACAAAGGCTTAAGGGTAAAATGGTGATAAGGCCCATTTAATGAGGAAAACAAGAATTTATTCAGAACTCACCCACCAGATTTTCACATATGTTATAAGGCTAGAACTGTGACATATGCCATCTCAGGTAGAGGTGGCTGGGGCTAGGTGGCTAAGTTGTGACTACTGGTGGGGTCATCCAGTCAACAATACCTACCTTGACTAGTTCAAGACAGGTGGTCAACAATAAAAAGATTCCTGGAACTGCTGAAAAGAGTAGGGGTGAGGTATTTATGCTGAAGCAGATCTCACCTATAAATCAGACCCACAGAATGGCCAGAAGAAGATTACAGCTAAACTTTAGAGGATTCTCAGAGAAGTTGCTCTGTGAAGGTTCACTGAGAAGTCTAGTGGAGCTGGTATCAAATTTCACAAAGTGATTGTGTAATTTATAATAATTGGACATAAGGTTATTAAAATGTAATGTTGTAAGCTATTGTTGACCATGGAAGCTCTCAGAATGAACAAACCAGCTAAACACTACATCTTCAGGGGGTCTGTCTTAAGAAATCATTTATTTCTTCCTTTCTTCTTCTGTTTCTTTTTCTTTCTTTCATTCTTTCCATCTCTTCTTTCCTCTCATTCATTCTTTTAAGTTTTAATCATAAAAAATGTCAGCATACAGAAAAAGTGAAAGAATAATACACACATACTTTCCATTATATTTTAATAAATTATTTTTTAACTATGCATATATTTATCTAGGCATCTATGTATCCATCAGTTTATCTATCTATGAACTAATGAAGGAGATTGCAGACTCGTCATCCCTACATACTTGAGTATATTTCTCTTAAGAAGACATTTATACTGGAATAACTCTGTGGTAAAACAATTGAAAAAAAGGAATATAATTTATAAAAAAGCGAGACAAGAAGAACCCATGAGGCAAATATGCACAGAACAGGGAGTGACTGCACAGTTTCTTCCTTAGCAATCCTCCGGAACATGTCATGCTCACTGTATACCAAACTTGCATCTGGGAAAGGGATGTTTCAGAACACATACATTTCATTTTCTAAATAGTAAATTTTCTAACTGTATCCTAACTTCAAGGAAGAGAAAACAGCCAGAATGCGCAAGTTCTTCTATTACCCTTTCTTTCCTTTTTTGTTATGAAACATCTTCAAGTTAGAGGAAGGTTATTAAAATAACAAATACACATGTATTTGCCATCTAGAATTAAATTGAAAATTTAGGAGTAATTTTGCATTTTCAAGAGAGAACAACAGGCCGGGTGTGGTGGCTTAGGCCTGTAATCCCAGCACTTTGGGAAGCTGAGGCAGGCAGATCACTTGAGGTCAGGAGTTCAAGACCAGCCTGGGCAACATGGTGAAATCCCATCTCTACTAAAAATACAAAAATTAGCTGGGCATGGTGTGGCGCATGCCTGTAATCCCAGCTACTCGGGAGGCTGAGGCAGGAGAATTGCTTAAACCGGGGAGGTGGGGGCTGCAGTGAGCTGAGATCCAGCCACTGCACTCCAGCCTGGGTGACAGAGCAAGACTTCATCTCAAAAAAAAAAAAAAAAAATGGAAAGAGAACAATACATCTCTTCAACCAACTGCAAAAGCATTGGAGGGAAAGAAACAAAGGTGTAAGTAAAATATTCCAGAGAAAGGTTGTTTTGGGAACCAAAACAATGTAAAACAACTGGAGAAAGAGAAGGGTTAGTTTGTTTGGTAGAGACTTAAAATCCCCAGGAAGAAGTCACATGAAGAGAGTAAGACAAAGCAAGATAAATTTGTCACAAGCACTCTTTCATGCTTATCTCATGGAAGGAGTTGCCATTTTTTTCTGCCATTGGTTTCAAAGTTTCAGAAACGTGGTTCAGCAAAGAAGTGCCAGTGCTGCCAGTGCTCATCCCCAACAGCCCTGGAGACAATGGATGCGCCGTGCCCTCATCATCACCCTATCTCAGGCTGAGGTGTTCCTTCCTCTTGCATTAGTGGAACATCGAGAACTGGGAGGGAGACAACCGGCAGTGGTAGTGCTCAGACCTGTCAGATTCCCGCTAAGGCAAGCTGCTTTCAAGTGATTTGTGGTGGTAAAAAATCAACAACAGGCCTGGCATGGTGGCTCATGCTTGTAATCCCTGCACTTTGGGAGGCTGAGGTGGGCAACTGCTTGAGCCCAGGGGTTTGAGACCAGCCTGAGCAACATGGCAAGATCCCCATCTCTACAAAATATACAAAAATTAGCTGGGTGTGGTGGTGAGCACCTGTAGTCCCAGCTACTCAGGAGGCTGAGGTGGGAGGATCGTGTGAGCCCAGGAGGTTGAGGCTGTAGTGAGCCAAAATCAAGCCACTGCACTCCTAGCCTGGGTGACAGAGTAAGACCCTGTCTCAAACAACAACAAAAAACGAATTTAAAAAAAAAACCCAAAAAACCAAAAAACAAAAAATCAACAACGTTAACAACAGTAGGATTGATTAAGAAACGAGAGTGAAAGATAAGATTAGAGGCTGAAGCTCAAACAGTCAACGTGAGGCAGGAGAGGATTACAGCATCGGTGCCCAGGATGCAGCCAGCTTTCTCTGCCAGTCTTCCTGACCCCTCCTCACGTCTCTGGGCATCTTGATTCCAGAAGTCATCCACCACCACCTTGATAACCAAGGCAGAGGGCTGTGAATGGACCTTGGATGCATTCCTTTCTAAACCACTCCATTTACAACATTAGGTTTTTAGGTGGTTTAAAGGAATGCAAATTTGTTCTGTTTACTTCCTCTTTGAATTTTCCTTTGTCACACTCTTTTATTTTCTTCTGGCTGACCTGCTGTGTCTGCTTTTGTTACTGATTCATCAAATGTCCACTCACACAGGCAGCATGTTTTTAGGCTGCTAGGCTAAAGAAGTGAAAAAGGTTTCCTCTGCCTGGGCGTGGTGGCTCACACCTGCAATCCCAGCATTTTGGGAGGCCAAGGCGGGTGAATCACCTGAGGTTAGGAGCTCGAGACCAGCTTAACCAATATGGTGAAACCCCGTCTCTACTAAAAATACAAAAAAATTAGCCGGGTGTGGTGGCATGCACCTGTAGTCCCAACTACTGGGGAGGCTAAGGCAGGAGAATTGCTTGAACCTGGGAAGCGGAGGTTGCAGTGAGCCGAGATAGCGCCACTGCACTCCAGCCTGGGTAACAGAGCGATACTCCGTCTCAAAAAAAAAAAAAAAATAGATTTCCTCACTGGCAATGACTCCCTCTGATATTTCTTTGGGGCCAATATACTCTTGAAATTATTTGATTTCCCCTGACTCTCGAAGTCCCCCTTTCCTTATAATTAGATGAACCTAACCTGAGGCCTCTATTGATGGGAAAGGGCTTTCAAAGGCAACATTCAGAGAGTTTGCTTGACCAGAAAGGTCAGCAGCAAGCACCCAGCTCTGGTACAAGGCCATATGTTCTTTAAGGAATAGGACTCCATTAACAGACTTTGTTACTGGAGAGTTTTTTATTCTTTCCTTTTCAGACCTAGAAGGATATCTGAAGTGTTTATTATTAGTCTAAACTGAGAGCAAGTGAGTGTCCTTATCATTCAAAAACAAATACACCTGTCTGGCAGCAGGAACTCTGCTTGGCTTTATGAACCAGGAAAATCAACACAGTAGTCAGAGCCCAGCCAGTAAATCCGAGGGGCCTGTAAAGTCATGTTGGAGAAGGGGTTCTTTGTGGAAGGATTCAAACTTCCACGGGCTCTAGAGTTCCCAATGGAAGATCAGGCTTGGTAGTCATTTTATTTGCACAGACTCTGTAGCCTGTTTGTGTATCCGATACTACTAAATGTGGAATATAAGAACTTCGATGGGTGGGAACATGCTGAAAAGTTAGTAGGGAAAAACCTAAAGGTTAAAGGAAAACAATACTCTCTGACTGCAGTCAGGTTAGCACTTCTTTCTGCCATCTCCCTAGGTCCTAGCTGTTGACTACTTTCCTTATGCTGAAAAAGGAACTAGTTCAGTTCTGAAACTTAGTTATGCCATCCTGACTTCCTTTATTCTATGTTTAAAAATTTAAGAGTAATTTTACGTTTTCAAAATAAAATGAGTATCTTGATACTCCTCAAATTCACAAGGATGTAATGTAAGACTCTGTATTCATTCATTCATTGACTAATCTTTGAGTGCCTTTGAAGTTTAAGGCATTGTAGTGTTTGGACAAGATAAAGGTGCCCTGTTGGAGCTTATGACCTAACAGGAAATAAGATATATACCATTCAGGTCCCCCAAAACACACCAAATCCACACATTCATTGTCCCCACAGTTTCATCATTAGCTTCAAAGATGTTTTCATATTAGAGTCAGTCTCAGTCACCTACTGACCCTGACTCTCCCTCCTGTAATTTTAGTCCTTCCCAGATTGGTCCCAGAAGAGTATTTTTCTTGTGTGTGTGTGTGTGTGACAGCTTTAGAGTCACCTGAACAGGTGGGTAGTGTCAACTCTTTTGCCTTAGCTGCTTATGTGTGGTTAGATGCTTCATCTATGTGGGAGAGATTCTTAGGTCTATAAGTGGGAGGATGAGTGGGGTAAGAAGTATAATGTTTTGGAAGAAATAAAAGCATTCGACTCATTTTAAGGAATTATCCAAAATAAAGGAATAATTAAAAATATGGTTACTAGTATTAATGAATGTAATCAACCAAATTTAAAGTCACATTTGTCACATTTTTAAACCCAGGGTAGGCTGCAAGAGAGTGTAAGTTTTGAAATTAGCAGAGTCGTGTTGAAATTCTGCTCTACCATTTTCTATCTATATAGACTTAGACCAATAACTTAAGCCTGTAGGCCTGTATTTTCACCTCTGCAAAATGGAGATAGTGATATCCACTTTTCAGAGTGATGTGAAGATTAAGTGAGCCAATCTATGTAAAAGTTCTTAGTCCTGTGCCCCAAATGCTGATTCTCTCCCTGCCTTTTCCTCTACTTTTCTTTGGAGAATTATGCCTGTATTTTATTTTAGTCTGTCCTTTTTTTCCCCCTTGTTCTTGGCTTTTCTCATTGTTTTTGTTCTTATTTTTTCTGGCCGATCTTGTCTCTTTGGTTTCCCTCTTTTTCCTCTCTGTGGATGTTTGTTTTGCCTGTGTTTATTTTTCCATCATGAACTTTCCTTGAGTTCCTTTCTCGTTTGCCTTTTTGCAGGCGTCTTTTGTTTTACCTGGGGCTCTAAGCCGTTTGCACGTTGATGTCAACACTGATTGCTGATTTTGGACTTTATTGGAGAAAGGGGGTGGAAGGTGTGGGAAGACAGCTCTTAAGGGGCCTAGAGAAAGGATATTGGGAGGTTGAAGTGGTTAGTTGCTTGGCTATACATATTTTGCAGACATACATTTCAGTTCCTGGCCAGAAGTCTGACGGTTTTTTCCCACAGGTCCTCAGGGTTTTTGAATCCGCCCCGATTTCGCTTTCCTTCCCCGCTCCCTGTTTCTCTACCGGGTTTTAGTGGAGCCCAGCTTTCCCCTCCCCAACTTCCTGTTGCTTTGCTTTCTCTGAAACATGTTTTACCTATTACTGCTCTTCTTTACCGTTTCACTTATGTGGAACACCCACTTGGAAGGAGGGTTGTTTCTTAAGAGGGGGAGGTCATTACTGATAATAGGAGTTAATAGTTGCCTGTGATGCACCAGTGCTCACACAACACCAAAACCAAGACAGCAGGAACTCATAACCCTGGTTAATTGGAACAGATTCTGAATGTAGCCCAGAGAATCTAAAGGACAGAAACAAACTAAGGAAGTGGTGGATGGTGACAGGATGGAGATGCCACGGAGTGTATCTTGCATTTTAATTTCCACAAACATTTACTTATCATCTATCCTGGGCCAATCAGTGAGCTAGACTCTGGATATAATTTGATGAACAATATAAGAAAAGCTCTGCCTTTAATCACTTTTAATGGTCAAATTGTGCTCTAAACAGAATCTCCCTGCAATTCATATCTATGATTTTAAATTTGGGACTACTTTTCTATCTTGGGAGACATCATGGAAAGAAATCTGGGACTTGAGTGGCAACAACAGATCTTGTGGTGCTTGTGGGCAATGGTTGGTGGCACATCGCAATTACCTGTCACATGTCCCTAATATTTTTATTAAGGAAATTTTAAGCAAAAATAGTGATAATGCTAGAATAAGCGCTTATCATCCATCACTCAGCTTCAACAATTAATATTTTGTCAACCTTGTTATATTTCTCCTCTCTTCCAGTACTTTCCTGGAATATTTTAATGAAAATTCCAGACACCATGTCATTTCCTCTTTATTTCAATATGCTTCTCAAGTAGGGAAGGACTTTTTTTTTTTTTTTAAACATAACTACCATACCATTATTACTTGTAATGAAATCAATAGTAGTTTTTTTTTTTGGTTTTGTTTTTTTAGATGGAGTCTTGCTCTTGTATTCCAGGCTGGAGTGCAGTGGCGTGATCTTGGCTCACTGCAACCTCCACCTCAGGGGTTCAAGTGATTCTCCTGCCTCAGCCTCCTGAGTAGCTGGGATTATAGGCACGTGCCACCACACCCGGCTAATTTTTGTATTTTTAGTGGAAACGGTGTTTCACCATGTTGGCCAGGCTGGTCTCGAACGCTTGGCCTCAGGTGATCCACCCACCTTGGCCTCCCAAAGTGCTGGAATTACAGGTGTGAGACACCGCACCCAGCCTATAGTAATTTTATAATGTCATCTAGTACTCAGTCCACAAGAACATTTCCCCAGTTATCTCAAAGATGCCTTTTTTAAAAAAAATTATTTTTATTTTTATTTATTTTTATTTTATTATTATTATTTTTTGAGATGGAGTTTCACCCCTTTTGCCCAGGCTGGAGTGCAATGGCACGATCTCACCTCACCACAACCTCCACCTCCCAGGTTCAAGTGATTCTCCTGCCTAAGCCTCCTGAGTAGCTGGGATTACAGGCATGTGCCACCATGACAGGCTAATTTTGTAGTTTTATTAGAGACGGGGTTTCTCCATGTTCATCAGGCTGGTCTCAAACTCCTGACCTCAGATGATCTGCCTACCTCGGCCTCCCAAAGTGCTGGGATTACAGGCATGAGCTACCATGCCCGGCCGGTATTTTTATTTTTATTTTTTATCTTTTGGAGACGGAGTCTCACTCTGTTGCCCAGGTTGGAGGGCAGTGGTCTGATCTTGGCTCACTGCAACCTCTGCCTCCCAGATTCAAGCAGTTCTCCTGCTCAGCCTCCCGAGTAGCTGGGACTACAGGTGCATGTCACCTAGCCTGGCTGATTTTTGTATTTTTAGTAGAGATAGGGTTGTGCCTTGTTGCCCAGGCTGGTCTTGAACTCCTGAGCTGAGGCAATCCACCTGCCTTAGGCTCCGAAAGTGGTAGGATTACAGGTGTCAGCCACCTCATCTGGCCTCAAAGATGCGTTCTTATAGTTGGTCTGTGTGGATTGGGATCAAAGCACACATATTACTATTGGTCATTCTCCCTTTTAATCTCCTGTTTTGTAATTATAAGCCCCTTTCCATTTTTTTCTCCCACACCATTGATTTCTGTAGAAATTTGGTATAGTGGGTATGCTACCCAGATCCCTTCCTTATGACCAGAGCATTCATGGTGTATCTGTCAGGAGTGTGGGTGGCTGAAGGCCCACAGCATGTATCTGGTTGTTTTTGGGGTAAAAATGCCTGGCCTTTTTGCCCCAGTTTGGGACAACTCTGAAGGACCATCCCAACTCCAGTGCTCACTGTGAGATTGCCTGAGAACTCTGCTGTGACTGCACCAGTTCAATTTCTTCCTCTTCCCAACCCTGTTTTCCTCACTTTCTTTTAGGTGTGTTCCTGAGGCTACTCCCATTAAAATTTCTGAACACAGTCTCCTTGTCAAAGTCTATTTTCTAGGAAACCTGACCTGGACAGTTGACACCAGGAGTGATTCTAGCAAGCAGAATCTAACATGGGATGTTGGAGCTGAATCACCTGCCTGCCAGCTGGCAATACAAACACCATTAGTGGTAGTTGGTGGAGTACCCATAGCTCTGGTGTGGTGAGAGGTGCAATTTAAAAAAAAATCACTGGTGGTGAGCTAGGATGGGATACCATGGAAGGGAAAGAACTGCCAAGGGCCGTATCACAGACATTTGATAGGTTGGAGGGAAGTAGCAAGCATAAAGACTGAGAGCTTGGATGTCTGTTGCTAGGGACTATTGATACATTGGACAAAGATGGTGAAAGCCTGAGGGTGATTAATCACCAGAGGGCTTCCTCAGCAGCCTATAAGGGAATTTGTTTTTCTTGTAGCCAGAGGGCAGAAGAAGCAGATGATCAGATCTGGGACTTTATAAGGGTAACATAGCTCTAGAGGAGATTGAATTTTTAAGTCTGGCAAATGTGCTATGCCAAGGTCAGGCCCCAGTTGGAAAGAAGTAACGTACTGGGACTGGGGTGGGGACATCTGGATCAATGCATTTGAAAATATTGAATCACCAGATTTCCCTGGACCCTCTGGGCCCACAGAAATGATTAACTCTTCTCTGTAAAGCAAACTCTCCTCTTGCTTGAAAAAGATGCAAAGGTCTCTGTCTTATAACACAACACATAGTATAGTATGAAGGGACTTGAATCAACTAGGAATTCTTCAGAACATCATACTATTTAATGACACTATTTAATGACACACTATTTAATGACAATGAACAGTAAGTCCTTAGAGACTGATATGGGTTGGCTGTGTCCCTATCCAAATCTCATCTTGAATTATAGTTCCCATAATCCGAATGTGTCATGGAAGGGACCTGGTGGGAGGTAATGTAATTGGTGCAGTTACTCTCATGCTGTTCTCACCGTAGTGAGTGAGTTCTCATGAGATCTGATGGTTTTATAAGGGGCTTTTCCCCCTTTTGCTCAGCACTTGTCCTTGCTGCCACCATGTGAAGGAGGACGTGTTTGCTTCCCCTTCTGCCATGATTATAAGTTTCTTGAGGCCTCCCCCAGTCATGCTGAACTGTGAGTCAATTAAGCCTCTTTTCTTTATAAATTTATAAATTATCCAGTCTTGGGATGTCTTTATTAGCAGCATGAGAACAGACTAATACAGTAAATTGGTACTGGGTACTGGGGTGCTGCTGTAAAGATACAAAAAAAAGTGGAAGCGACTTTGGAACTGGGTAACAGCAGAGGTTGGAGCAGTTTGGAGGGCTCAGAATAAGACAGAAAATGTGGAAATGTTTGGAACTTCCTAGAGAACTGGAGGGCTCAGAAGAAGGCAGGAAGATGTGGGAAAGTTTGGAACTTCCTAGAGACTTGTGAATGGCTTGACCAAAGTGCTGATAGTGATATGGACAATAAAGTCCAGACTGAGGTGGTCTCAGATGTAAATGAGGAACTTGTTGGGAACTGGAGTAAGGGTCACTCTTGCAATGCAAAGAGACTAGTGGCATTTTGCCCCTGCTCCAGAGATCTGTGGAACTTTGAACTTGAGAGAGATGATTTAAGGTATCTGGCAGAAGAAATTTCTAAGTGGCAAAGGGTTCAAGAGGAAGCAGAGCATAAAAGTTTGGAGAATCTGCAGCCTGATGATGTGATAAAAAAGAAAAACCCATTTCTGGAGAGAAATTTAAGCTGGCTTCAGAAATTTGCATAAGTAATGAGGAGCCAAATGTTAACACCAAGACAATGAGGAAAATGTCTCTCCAGAGCATGTCAGAGACCTTCACAGCAGCCCCTCCCATCACAGGCCTGGAGGCCTAGGAGGGAAAAATGGTTTTGTGAGCAGGCCAGGGCCTCCCTGCTCTGTGCAGCCTCAAGACATGGTGTCCTGTGACCCAGCTGCCTCAGCTCCAGCTGTGGCTATAAGGGGCCAATGTACAGCTCAGGCTGCACATACAGCTCAGGCCATTGCCTCAGAGGGTGCAAGACCCAAGCCTTGGTGGCTTACATGTGGTGTTGAACCTGTGGGTGCACAGAAGTCAAGAATTGAGGTTTGGGAACCTCTGTCTAGATTTCAGAGGATGTATGGAAATGCCTGGATGTCCAGGCAGAAGTTTGCTGCAGGGGTGGAGTCCTCATGGAAAACTTCTGCTGGGGTAGTGTGGAAAGTAAAGGTGAGGTTGGAGGCCCCAAACGGAGTCCCCACTGGGGCACTGGGTGGCAGAGCTGTGAGAAGAGGGCCACCACCCTTCAGACCCCAGAATGGTAGATCCACCAACAGCTTGCTCCATGTGCCTGGAAAAGCCACAGACACTCAACACCAGCCTGGGAAAGCAGCTGGGAGGGGTTGGGGGGAAGCTTTACCCTGAAAAGCCACATGGGCGGAGCTTCCCAATGCCATGGGAGCCTACATCTTGCATCAGCATGCCCTGGATGTGAGACATGGAGTCAAAGGAGATCATCTTGGAACTTTAAGGTTTAATGACTGCCCTGTTGGATTTCAGACTTGCATGGGGCCTGTAGCCCCTTTGTTGTGACCAATTTCTCCCATTTAGAATGGATGTATTTACCCAATGCCTGTACCTCCATTGTATCTAGGAAGTAACTAACTTGCTTTTGATTTTACAGGCTTATAGGTGGGAGGGACTAGCCTTGTCTCAGATAAGACTATGGACTTGGACTTTTGGGTTAATGCCACAATGAGTTAAGACTTTGGGGAACTGTTGGGAAGGGCATAATTGTGTTTTGAAATATGAGGACATGAGACTTGGGAGGAGCCAGGGGCAGAATGATATGGTTTGGTTGTGTCCCCACCCAAATCTCATTTTGAATTATAGTTCCCATAATCCTCATGTGTCATGGGAGGGACCTAGTGGGAGGTAATTTAATCATGGGGGTGGCTATCCCCAGTTGTTCTCGTGATAGTGAGTGAGTTCTCACAAGATATGATGGTTGTATAAGCAGCTTTTCCCCCTTTTGCTCAGCACTTCTCCTTGCTGCCACCATGTGAAGAAGGATGTGTTTGCTTCCCCTTCTGCCATGATTGTAAGTTTCCTGAGGCCTCCCCAGCCATACTGAACTGTGAGTCAAGTAAACCTCTTTCCTTTATAAATTATGCAGTCTCAGGCATGTCTTTATTAGCAGCATGAGAACAGACTAATACAGAGACCTTGTTAAAGACTTCTGTGCTCCAGAAGGTAGGACATAATCCCTACAGACATTCAAGGGTCCACCACAACTGTGAAGTTTTAAGGATCCTAGTAGTCTGGGACATGCCAGGACATTTTCTCCAAAGTAAACGACAAATTATAATATCTTCCACCTCCTGCTACTAAGAAGGAAGCAAAACACTTGGTAGGTAGCTTTGGGTTCTTGGGGACAGTATATTCTAGACTTAGGAATACTGCTTTAATCATTTGCTAACAACCATGGAATATTTCCAGATTTGATAGGGGCCCAGAGAAGGAAAGGGGTCTGTTGCAGGTGCAGGCTGTGGCGAAAGCAGCCCTGCCACTTGGGTCCTGTGACCTGCAGACTGTGATACTGGAAGTATCTACAGTGGGTAAAGGTGTGTATCACAAACTCCAGTAGAAAAATCACATATAGATGCCCAGGGTCTGGCACAAAGTCATGCCCTTTGCAGTAGAGAATTACACGCCAATCACAAATACAGCTCCCTGAAGCTACTGTGCCCTGGTAATGCTGGAATATATAATGACCTTTTGGTCAGGCTGGATTTTGTCAGAACCGCCAAGTCATAAGATTTGGTGGGCCCATAAGGAATCCATTGTAAACTGGAAGTAGTGCATATGGGATTGGACACGAATGAGCGACGGGGCACAGATGAGCTGCAAGAGCAGGTGGCCAGACTCTGTGCCCGGCCCTACTTTTTTACATAGTGAGTGAGTATATGAGTAAGGTCATTGTGAGGGTAAAATGGCCTGGCTTCTGGCCTCTGTGTAGGATATCTTGGAATGGCCAGAGCACCCTATGGGATTGGCCCAGTTCTCCACTGCAACTGTGTTGCAGTTTAACTTCTCCCTTTGCCCAATCCTGTTTGCCTCTCTCTCTTATAGGTATATTCCCTGAGATCACTTACAATAAATCTCCCACACATGGCTCTCTGTCTCAGAGTCTGTTTGTTAGAGAACTCTACCTAAGACATTAGGTCATTCATCCCATAGAATGTCTGGATTTGGCTGATGTTTCCTTGTAGTGTGGTTTTACAGTTACTTGTTTTTCTATCCCTTTGTTTCCTGTAAAGGTGTGGTTGTAGCCAGAGACTTCAAGTAGATTCAGGTGGCAAAGTGTGAATGCATCATATTCCAAGGCATAAAATATCCGGATGTCTCACTTTTGGTAATGTTAATATTGATTGGTAGGTTCAGGTATTGTCATATAAGTTCTTTAATAGCCCTATTTTTCCTTTTTCTCATTTTCCCTTATTCTTTTCATTTTTCATTTCTGTTTCCTCCTCACCTCTTTTCACCTCCTCCTTTCTGTATGTCTCAGATTCCCCAGTGGCACCATGTTTGTTGGTGTGGAAGAACTCAGGGCTCTTGTGATTGCTGGTAACAAACTTGACCTCTTGAGAAAGAGGAAGAATAGCTGACCAGAGAGAAAGAAAATCATTAGTTTTCATGTTCAAATCATTGAATATCTTACTCTAACTCTGTAAAAATGAGTTTTTGTTTGTCCTTGGAGTGACTGAGAAGGGTGAGTTTGAACTGGATATGGATGACCATTTCATACCCTACTCTATCATCGCAAATCATCCCTTTCCCTTTCTGCCCTCTGCCTTCTCAAGGAATCATTACTGGCATGACCCCACTGCTCACATTTTATTGAAATGTGATGGTACTTGCTGCAGTGATAAATTATTCTGGTATGTCAAATGAAAGGAAAGGAGAAAGGTCTGGTGTCCTCCTTTTAGGATCTCTCTTCCTTGTATGATAATGCATAGCTGGCATCTGAAGATAATGCTTCTATCTTTATTATCCCATCAAAAGAATAACTGCAGGGATGGGAATTCATAATCAGGGAAGAGGGAAACACCTCGGCAAGCCATGGCGGCAGCTTTTTGGTAGGTGTAGCTTTGAGTGTTGTGACCACCCATCAACCTGATGGGCTGCAGCTTACTTCATTTACATATGGGGCTGGCCAGAAGACTCAAGTCCAAAGGCATTAAGAAGTTCGTTCACCTGGAAAGAAAAAAATTATTTGACAATGACAACTGAACTCTCTCACGCAATGGGTTATAGTCAGTATCTTAATTAAAGAACATCTTTTCATTGCCAGTAACAGAAGATAACTGGGAATAGCTTCACCAAAAAGGAAAGGGAAGAAAAAAGATATATTATGAAATCCAAGGAGAAGCTGAACATTCAGTAGTTTTCACAAAAGGAAAGAACCAGAAGTTAGAAAGCTGTTAGAACCCAGGCCACAGTTCTCACTTGAAGTGTCTCTCTGTTCACAGTCTTGAGAGAGACAGACTGTGATTGGCTGTCTTGCATCAGCTGTCCATTCCTAGTCCAGTCAGCTATGGTCAAGAGGTTTTGGTACAAATATGAGGGGAGGGCAGCTCTTTTTTTTTTTTTTTTTTTTGAGATGGAGTTTTGCTCTTGTTTCCCAGGCTGGAGTGCAATGGCACGATCTCAGCTCTGCAACCTCTGCCTTCCCAGGTTCAAGCTATTCTCCTGCCTCAGCCTCCTGAGTAGCTGGGATTACAGATGCCTGCCACCACGCCTAGCTAATTTTCTGTATTTTTAGTAGAGATGGGATTTCATCATGTTGGCCAGGCTGGTCTTGAACTCACAGCCTCAGATAATCCACCTGCCTTGGCCTCCCAAAGTGCTGAGCCGCTGCACCCAACCAGGAGGGCAGTTCTTACTGAAGGAAATTTGAGTTAAGGTCTGTACAGATACCCCCAAAGCTAGTCAATATCTGATAAGTGTCTGAATGGATGAAGGATATTTGGGTGGGTGTGTTTACACAAATACATGGAAATTTATGTGAATATTGTCATACATCACTTAAGAACAGGGATGCAAGGGATACAATCTGAGAATGGATTGTTAGGTGATTTTGTCATTGTGTGAACATCATAGAACATATATACTTACACCAACCTAAATGGTAATAGCCTACGACACACTTAGGCTATGTGGTATAGCTTATTGCTCCTAGGCTGCAAATCTGTAGAGCATGTTACTGTATTGAATAATTAAGGCAAGTACAATGCAATGGTAAGTATTTGTTTATCTAAACATAGAAAAGGTACAGTAGAAATGTGGTATAAAAGATAAGAAGTGGTACACCTGTAGAGGGCACTTACAAATGGAGCTTGCAGGACTGGAAGTTGCTTTGGGTGAGTCAGTGAATGGTGAGTGAATGTGAAGGCCTAGGATGTTACTGTACACCACTGTAGACTATGAACACTGTAGATTTAGGCTATACTTAATTTCTTTTCTTTTTCTTTTTTTTTTTTTTTTGAGATGGGAGTCTCGCTCTCTTGCCCTGGCTTGAGTGCAATGGCACAATCTCAGCTCACTGCAACCTCCACCTCCTGGGTTCAAGTGATTCTTGTGCCTCAGCCTCCCAAGTAGCTGGGATTACAGGTGATTGCCACCACGCCCAGCTAATTTTTTGTATTTTTAGTAAAGACAGGATTTCACCATGTTGGTCAGGCTGGTCTTGAACTCCTGACCTCAAGTGATCCACCCACCTCCGCCTCCCAAAATTCTGGGATTACAGGCGTGAGCCACCATGCATGGCCAATTTCTTGAAAAATGTTTTCTTCAATAATAAATTAACTTTAGCTTACTGTGACTTTTAAATATTATAAATTTTTAAGTTTTAAAAACATTTTGACTGTTTCATAACACTTAGCCTAAAACACAAACACATTATACAGATGTACAAAAATATTTTCTTTCTTCTTATCCTTATTTTACACATTTTTTCTGTTTTCAAGTAATGAGCTATAGAAATGATCCCTGAAAGTATAGTCTTCTCTATTTTCATTTTCTATTTTAAAATTAAAAAATTTATTTTGTACTTTTTAATGTTTGTGGTTAAGAACACACACACACACACACACACACACACACACTAGCATAGGCCTGCATAGAGTCAGGACCATTAAGAAGTCACTAGGTGACAGGAATTTTTCAGCTTCATTATTATATTATAGCACCACCGAACTGTCATTTACTAGTATGCTGTTTTGAAGTACATGACTGATACACACACACACGTTACATACATAAATAAAGATTATATATATAAATGTGAAATTCAAAAGCATGTGTAGAATGATTATTAAAATGATAATATGTGAAAGCTTCATGAAGGTGAAGACCTTACTGTCTTCTTCTTTACTTCTTGGGATGTGCCTAGAATCTGGAAGGGTCCCTGGCTCATAGTAGGTGTTTGGCTATTATTTTTGGACTTTATGAATATTCATAAATTATGATAAAATAAAGTAATACTAAGTATCATTAAAAGTGGGGCAATGAACCTGTGAGCTTCCTGATAAGATGCAATTTGAAGTATACAGCACTACCTATAAAATATTCTTGCCAAAATAGTTGAACATGAATCTAATCAAGGTTTTAGAACTAAGCTCCAGTTTACAGAAAATGGAGAAACATACAAGTTAAATGATACTTCAAAGAAGCAAACAGATAAATCCAGAATATGGGACATTTTACAGAATAATTGACCTGGTCTCTGCAACAAGCCAGTGGCATGGGGGTTAAAAACGAGAAAGAGATTTAGGAGACATAACAACTAAATTCAAACACACTATAAAAAGAGTTTTTGGAAACAATTTTGGAAATTTATTCATAAACTCTTGTTATATGCCACTAAAAATTATTGCTAATTTTGTTAAATATGATAATGGCCTCATGCCCATATAAGTAAGTGTCCATTTTTTGTTTAGAGATTCATAACGAAGCAAGAGGTAGGCTCCCATGGCATTGGGAAGCTCCGCCCATGTGGCTTTTCAGGGTAAAGCTTCCCCCCAACCCCTCCCAGCTGCTTTCCCAGGCTGGTGTTGAGTGTCTGTGGCTTTTCCAGGCACATGGAGCAAGCTGTTGGTGGATCTACCATTCTGGGGTCTGAAGGGTGGTGGCCCTCTTCTCACAGCTCTGCCACCCAGTGCCCCAGTGGGGACTCCGTTTGGGGCCTCCAACCTCACCTTTACTTTCCACACTACCCCAGCAGAAGTTTTCCATGAGGACTCCACCCCTGCAGCAAACTTCTGCCTGGACATCCAGGCATTTCCATACATCCTCTGAAATCTAGACAGAGGTTCCCAAACCTCAATTCTTGACTTCTGTGCACCCACAGGTTCAACACCACATGTAAGCCACCAAGGCTTGGGTCTTGCACCCTCTGAGGCAATGGCCTGAGCTGTATGTGCAGCCTGAGCTGTACATTGGCCCCTTATAGCCACAGCTGGAGCTGAGGCAGCTGGGTCACAGGACACCATGTCTTGAGGCTGCACAGAGCAGGGAGGCCCTGGCCTGCTCACAAAACCATTTTTCCCTCCTAGGCCTCCAGGCCTGTGATGGGAGGGGCTGCTGTGAAGGTCTCTGACATGCTCTGGAGAGACATTTTCCTCATTGTCTTGGTGTTAACATTTGGCTCCTCATTACTTATGCAAATTTCTGAAGCCAGCTTAAATTTCTCTCCAGAAATGGGTTTTTCTTTTTTATCACATCATCAGGCTGCAGATTCTCCAAACTTTTATGCTCTGCTTCCTCTTGAACCCTTTGCCACTTAGAAATTTCTTCTGCCAGATACCTTAAATCATCTCTCTCAAGTTCAAAGTTCCACAGATCTCTGGAGCAGGGGCAAAATGCCACTAGTCTCTTTGCATTGCAAGAGTGACCCTTACTCCAGTTCCCAACAAGTTCCTCATTTACATCTGAGACCACCTCAGTCTGGACTTTATTGTCCATATCACTATCAGCACTTTGGTCAAGCCATTCACAAGTCTCTAGGAAGTTCCAAACTTTCCCACATCTTCCTGCCTTCTTCTGAGCCCTCCAGTTCTCTAGGAAGTTCCAAACATTTCCACATTTTCTGTCTTATTCTGAGCCCTCCAAACTGCTCCAACCTCTGCTGTTACCCAGTTCCAAAGTCGCTTCCACTTTTTTTTGTATCTTTACAGCAGCACCCCAGTACCCAGTACCAATTTACTGTATTAGTCTGTTCTCATGCTGCTAATAAAGACATCCCAAGACTGGATAATTTATAAATTTATAAAGAAAAGAGGCTTAATTGACTCACAGTTCAGCATGACTGGGGGAGGCCTCAAGAAACTTATAATCATGGCAGAAGGGGAAGCAAACACGTCCTCCTTCACATGGTGGCAGCAAGGACAAGTGCTGAGCAAAAGGGGGAAAAGCCCCTTATAAAACCATCAGATCTCATGAGAACTCACTCACTACGGTGAGAACAGCATGAGAGTAACTGCACCAATTACATTACCTCCCACCAGGTCCCTTCCATGACACATTCGGATTATGGGAACTATACATAATGAAGCCTGGTGAAGTAAAACGATATGTTGTCTATGATTTGATATAAAGTACTTTAGCATAGGAAAACAAAAAGAAAGAGGAACAGATGATACAATAGCAAAATCTTGATAATTTTGGGGTATGAATGAGGTGTATATGGGGATTCATTTTCTACTCTCTTGACTTTTGTGTGTGTTTGAAATTTTTCATAAAAATGGGAAGAGAATAGAGCATATTTTCAGCTTTTTCTAAACTGCTGAGTCTTAAATATGTTTGCACATTATAATGTCCACATTTAAATGGAGAAACACTTCCTGGACAAGGTGAAATGGTGGAAAGTGCCTTGATTTGGGAGTCAGACGAACGTGGTTTGAATCCTAGCTGCATTCCAAGGACTTGAGGAGGGAGGGAGCATGCCTGTAGCAAAGGCAGCAAGGGCAGAGGAATGGCTGGTTTGTAACACGTGTGTGTGTGTGTGTGTGTGTGTGTGTGTGTGAATATATATAAATAGGATTCCTGGGAGAGGACTAAGTTTTGAGGAGTGAAAGACATGGTGATTTGTTTTGAGCCACGTTGAGTTTGAGTTTAAGGTCTTTGAGACATACAAGAAGTGATGTCAACAATGCAGTTCATGTCAAAGTCTGGAGCACAGATGAGAGAACAGTGTAAGTCTACTAGTTTCATAGAAAAAGGCAGTTTACCTTTAGATGTTTCCATGTAATTGTGTTGCTGCTACAGCACATGCAAGCATTTCATAGATATAATACCTATGAGAAGCAAGGACTCATATAAAGCAATATAAAGCTGTGTTTTATTTGTTTCACAAATGAGCAAGTTCATTTTTATAGGAAAGCAGTTACCTTTCTCCTGCTTTTTATCTTTTACTGCAGACCTGGGGGATTTCTGGCAGTAGCTGAGACCCTTTTGAGCCAAGTCTGCCTTTATTTTTTCCTATTATTACAGTTTGTTTTTCGTGATGTGAATCTGCCAGTTACTAGTTAGATAGACTTTCCGTTGAAGGAGGTTGCTCTGAATTGCAATCTAGCAACACCTAACCAGGAATGCCCCCTCTGCCCCATTAGAGAAAGCCACTAAGAGAACTGTTGCAATTATCTAAGAGTCAGATCCCAAGTTGTTTTAGGTATAAAGCAGAATGAGGTAAGCTAGAGTGGGAGGTAGAGAGTAGTGGTGGTAATGAGGATGTAACTTCTCATCCCATTTTTAAGAAAGTCTGTAAAATGTTGCTTATGAAAATGACTTGGTCTCATAAAGGGGTATAACTGCTTCAGAGTCTTTCAGAAACTCAGATGTATCCTGTGGTTAATTGTCCATTTTTGGCTTAGTTTTGCTTAGCCTCCCAGAGAACCATTTTAATAACACTGTATTTTTAACTGGGAAAAAATGATTTGATGGTGCATTAATTGCTCCTTTGATGACACTTAGATTTCACCACTGTTCCCTTGCTACACCTACCTGTTCACTTCTAGCTTTTCCTAATGTTTTCTTAGTTTTGCAGAGCAGTATATGATAGACAATACAAATTATCAAAACACTACCTCCGATTTATCTAATTGTTTCTCCTGAAGCCTTTGGCATGATTTCACATGTACAATTTCATCAGAATTTATGTGACATTTCTGTCAAAGAGTTAGGGAATGACAGGTGCTACTATTCCCATTTTTTGTTAGGAACAAGAGTGACCCACAGAGTTAGTAAATATCAGAACCAGGGCTAGAATATAGGTGTTTTTATTTCTATCCGAACATGTGAAAAAGAAAGAAAGGCAGATCAAAGGACAAGGAAGGGTGTAGAAGAAAGACCAGCAAAGAAAAACTAAAATGAGTTTGTTTACTTATTCCTTCAAGAAACTAAAAAAAATCATCTTCAGTGTTCCCATTCCTGAGACTACATGATGAATGATGAATGGTTACATGCCAGGAGCCAAAGCTCTAGTGGGAGAGGCATTCCCATAAATATTCCAGTATACACATTTTCTTTCCATGCTGCCATAATTGTGCACATGAATGTCCTGGCTGATGCTCTCAAGAGCATCAACAATGTCAAAGAGAGACAAACCCCAGGTTCTTATTAGGCTGTGCTCCAGAGTCATTATCCAGTTTCTAACTGTGATGAAACATGATTACATTGGCAAATTTGAAATCATTGATGATCACAGAGCTGGGAAAATTGTTGTGAACCTCACAGTCTGGTTAAACAAGTGTGGAGTGATCAGCCCCAGATTTGATGTGCAACCTAAAGACCTAGAAAGATGGCAGAATAATATGCTCCTGTCTCGTCGGTTTGGTTTTATTGTGCTGACCACCTCAGCTGGCATCACAGACCTTGAAGAAGCAAGACAAAAACACACGGGAGGGAAAATTCTGGGATTCTTTTTCTAGGGATGTAATACATGCTTATAGGAAAAATGCCTCAATGGACCAAAAAAAAATTGCAGTATAATGGAAGAATTAAAGAAGTGCCATGGGAGAAATAGTGAGCAAAATGAATTATAACATTAAATTTTTTTTTTTTGAGACAGAGTTTTTGCTCTTGTTGCCCAGGTTGGAGTGCAATGGGCTCACTGCAACCTCCACTTCCCCAATTCAAGCGATTCTCCTGCCTCAGCCTCCTGAGTAGCTGGGATTGCAGGCATGCGCCACCACGCCTGGCTAATTTTGTATTTTTAGTAGAGACAGGGTTTCACCATGTTGGCCAGGCTGGTCTTGAACTCTGACCTTAGGTGATCCGCCCACCTCGGCCTCCCAAAGTGCTGGGATTACAGGCATGAGCCACCGCGCCCGGCCTACATAAAATATTTTTTACTGATGGTCTCACTTTCTCAATTCCAAATATCTAAGATCTTCTCATTTGTTTGTCTTGTAGTGGATACTATGTATTATCTGATGTTACTATTTTGTATTCAGGCACCACTGTCTCTTAATACTATTTTGCCCACATTTTGGTATAAGATTTCTTGATTTTTCTCTAAGGAATCTTTGAGATCCTCTCTTAGCCACATTTTGCCAGTGAAGACATTTTAAACTTCCAAGTTTTCAATTTCATGCTCTTATAATTATGGGTTGTAGAGGAGGATAGGACTACAGGAGATTGTCCAACCCTACCCCTTGGACTCTATCACTATGGCAAGCCTTGATGAAGCACTATGTTGTACTCATGGACTTCCAAAACTGTCAGCTTTCCACATTATAACCTAGCCAATCAAGGAATAACTAACAGGCCAAATACTCTTACACCTGCCTAGTTAAAAAATATATATTTCGGAAGACCTTGTTATAGGGTTAAAAAGTAGAATTGGTTGGATTTGAGTGAGGAAAAGGCATAGTAACTAATGTGACTTATTTAATAAAATATAATTAATCCCCTCCACCTAATGCATCATGCTACTTCATGTGTGTGTGTGTGTGTGTTCATGGGTGAATTGTCAAATAACAAATCACTGCTACTTCCTTACATTTGAGGTATGATGGCTCACCTATTCATGTGGTCCATTTGAAGAGGGAAGTTCACCTAATACACATCTATTCAAAAAGCATTTATTGAGTACTTAGAATATTTAAGGCACCTTTTGATACGTGGGGCATACATATAGAGGTACCCAGCTCCCAGAGTGGTGGCACCATTTAAATGAATTAATAAGATAATGTGTTTATGTGAAGGCCATTTTATAAATTATGAAGTGCAAGCAAAAATTCTACTATTGTTACAAAAATAAAATCCATAAACCTTTTCCTATTGCTTGTTTGGCATAGAAGTGAAATCGTTTCAAGTTTGCCCCTTTACAAGCCCCGGGCATGTGAGAATGCACTAAATCTGGCTTGGACTTGGTTCACTGTCTTAGATCTCAGAAACTGTGGGGACTATGATTGTGACAGTACCATTCATCTTGTCTTCTGTAAACTCACAGTTATAACTTTTCTCCAATTTGGGTATAAGAGGAAGACGAGACTAGTTTTGCCTTTTGAATCACGCAGCCATCAAGTGACTTGGATTTTCATCCTCACTGATTTCCTTTGCAAAATGCCCTTGAATGTCAGGTGTGGGCAGAGAAACCACGGTAGGACTCTCTCCTCTTGCAAAGCAAAGTGGAGTGTTACTGTCATAACAAATGCATCTTTTCTTTTCCTCTAGTTTTCATAAATGCCCAGGTGTATAAGCAAATGTCCTAGGACTCTCTGTAGCTTGCTCAAGGTTGTAATAATTTTTATAGTTTTTATTTTAAAGTCTCTTTTATTTTTCTCCTAAATCCTGTTATGTGGCCTGCCCAGGAAAGATGCTTATTTTCAAAATATAGGTACAGAAAAAGTAAGGCTCCATATGTGGAAATCAGTGACAACTCAACCTTTTTGGGCTTTGTTTGCAATGTAGGAATTGTACACCTTGGTTATGGTCTGTTAGTTGTTCTAAAATTTTTGCTACAAATTAGTAAAGACCTTAGTTGTGCTTGGCATTGGAAACAGCAGAGAGTAATGCACATTTTATCCTACAGAGTAGTTCCAGCTGGTGCTGAATGGGGCAACCTGACTTCTAAACAGTGTTTATTGCAAGGGTAATCTTACATCATTGCTCTATTGTCCAAGGTTAATTGTCAATTTGCTTTTAAATGTTATGCAAAAGTATTGGCTTAGCTGTAGAAAACTTCATCTTGGGAAATTTGACCCTCCTGGAGATGAATAATTAATGTCCTATGAAATCACATGCCTGAAAGAGAATTCTAAAGTTCACCATGACCATCCTTTTTTCTCCTAAGTGTATTCTATTTTTAAGAATTCCTGGAAACAACTCTATGTTAAAAAAGAAGCAAAGATTTAAAAGCAAACATGCTGAGAAAGTATTTACAGAAAACATTATAGACAAAAGATGGCTACTTATGTTATATAAAGAGCTTTACATAAAGTTATAAGAAAACCATTAAGAATACATTAGATAAATGGAGTAAGGATATGCACAAAATTTCACAAAAGAGAGAGATCAACTAATAAAACTGGAAAATGGGTCAGTCTCACAAGTGTCATAAGCATATCATAACTAACAGGTACTTTTTTGTTTTTTTGCTGATCAAGTTAGCACAGACTTGAGATTATAATACTGTTGAGAATATGGTGAAATAGGCACTTGTTCTATGTCACTTGTGGATGCATAAATTCTTAAGATTTTTTTGCAAGGTAAGTTGGAAAACTGTATCAAGATTCTTAAAAATACTCTTAGCCTATTTTCAGTAATTCCACCTCTAGAAATCTGTTATAAAGGCATATTGTTACTTAAAACATATAATGCATAAATATGTTCAAATATAATAGCAAAAAATTGGAACCACAATTAACATGTTCAACAGTGAGAAATGGGTAAATAAACTATGGTCTATTTGGTATATCATTGAGTAATATTGTAATGTTAAATTGCAAAAGCATTCACAGAAGGACAAATATCTATCTGAGGTACCTAGAGTAATGAAATGTACAGAGAAAGAAAATAGAATGATGGTTGCCAGGCACTGGGGGAGCCAGTAATGGTCAGTTATTATTTAATTGGTAGAGAGTTTTAGTTTGGGATGATGAAAAAGTTCTGGAGATGGTTAGTAGTGATGGTTGCACAACAAAGTGAATGTACCTAATGTCACTGAATTGCACACTTTAAAAAAGCTAGAATGTTATATATATTTTATCACAATAAAAAAAAGCAAGATCTTTGTAACAGCATGAGTACTGTTTGTTGTATATTGTATGATTTTATTTTTAAAAAGCAGCAGCATACGTGCTCTGTGAAAGACACTGTCAAGAGAATGAGAAGATAAGTCACAGACTGGGAAAAATATATGCAAAAAACTATTGGATACGACTGTTATCTAAAATGTACAAAGAGCTTTTACTACTCAAGAACAAGAAACAACCTGATTAGAAAATAGGCAAAAGGTGGCCGGGCACGGTAGTTCACACCTGTAATCCCAACACTTTGGGAGATCGAGGCGGGTGGATCACCTGAGGTCAGGAGTTGGAGACCAGCCTGGCCAACATGGTGAAACCCTGACTCTACTAAAGATACAAAAATTAGCCGGGTGTGGTGGTGGGTGCCTGTAATCCCAGCTACGCGGGAGGCTGAGGCAGGAGAATCGCTTGGACCCTGGAGGCAGAGTTGCAGAGAGTCGAGCTCACACCACTGCATTCCAGTCTGGGCCACAGAGTGAGACCCAGTCTCAAAACAAAACAAAACAAAAAAATGACAAAAGACCTGAATAGACACCTCACCAAAGAATATGTACATCATCTACCAGCATCTATCTATTATATATAAAATATAAAATATATTATATATAAGTGTGTGTATACATATATATATATACACCCCCACACTGATGGGAAAATGCAATAGCTTGTAGCAAAAGAAAAAGAAGCAGAAGTAGTAAAAAAAAATATGAATAGTGATTGTATTAGGAAGTGGGACTATAAATGAGCTCTTCCCTTTCCAACTTTATTATTTTTTTCTAAATGTTCTCTAAAAAGCATGTATTAAATTTACAGTGATTATATAAACTTTTAATTTCAAAAGTAAATGAATAGGACTTCCAGTTGAATATGGCTGATTGAACACATACATTTTACATTTGCTCCCTCCTGGAATTCCAGTAAAACAATAATAAAGGCTTTAATAAAAGACATGAGCTCTTCCAGACAAGAGAGGTACCAAAAGCAACAAAATCAGATGGGCTAACTTGGGATGGAGACTGACTTGGGCAAACTGTAGAAAGCAGGATTCTGACCTAGCAGTGAGAAAAAGCAAAAAATACCTTAATTTGTACCTGAAAGTTCCCCAAAAACGCCAGGATGAAAGGAGATCATTTGCTCTGAGAGAGCAGGTAAAGATGAGGCTTGAAAACAGGGGGACTGGTTGCAAATTTGTTTAAGAATCAGATCCTAATTCTAACCACAAGGAAACAATCAGACAAATACAAATTTAGAGACATTTTGCACATATTCACCCATTTAAATTGTATAATTGGTTTTTGGTATGTTCTTCATATGTGCAACCTACACCAGACAAATTTAGAACATATTCATCACAGGCTTAAGCTCCTAAAAAGTGTCATTGTCATGTGAATAAAAAAAGGTGGAGAAACAGTTTAGATGAAAGGAAATGAGATTAACAAGGCCTAATAACTAAATGCAATGCATGATCTTTGACTGGGTCCCGGATTAAAAAAGAAACAGCTAGAAAGGGCACTATTTGGGCAACTGGGGAAATGTGATTATGGTGCGTACATTAAATAATACTGATTTCTTGGGTTTGATATTTATATTATGGTTTTGTGTGAAGATTGTCCTTGTTTTAGAAGATACTTGCTGAAATATTTAGAGAAGTGACAAACTTATTCTGAAGTGGTTCAGCAAAACAATCTATATATTTCCCTTTCTCAAGAATCTACTGTAGATTGTGTGCCCAAAAGGGGAGGGGAGTAAAGCAAGAAAGAGGAAGACATGGAATCTGGGAATCAGGGGATCCAACGGGAGTGAGAGGGAAGGGAACCCCAAGATGATGGTGACGGGAGGTCCTGAGGTGACAGATGTACAGCAGGCCCAGAAAGTAATCAGCCCAGTCCAGAGGCTCTCAGGAAGATTACTTCAAGGAGAAAAATATTAGTAAAATAGATTACACATTTGAATGTATGGAGAAAAGGTTTACATAAGAGAGGAGTTTATAGTTGAATTCGTGATACATACCTTAAAATCCAAGCAAACGAAAAGCAAGACACATTAACTCCAGGCAGAACATAAAGTTATGGAGGAAAGGAAAAGCAACAGTGTACCACATGGCTTAGTACTCAATAGTCTTTCCATAGTCATAAGATATGGAATATTTATCTATGCAAAATTACAAGGTATTTTTATTAGAAAGATGGTGGAAGAAGAAATCTCTGTGTGTGTGTGTGTGTGTGTGTGTGTGTGTGTGTATAATAGAGCGCTGCAAAAGGAGAGCCTCTATATTATACCTACAAAAGAATAATCACAATAGCAATATAAACATGATATTTAGTAATAAGGAGGTAAATTCCACAAACATTGGAAAAAAGTGTTAAGAGAAATTTGTAGTGAATGGAAAATGGAAGTGGGAAAGAGGGCTCCTGTTAGTTGAAATAAACCTTGTAAAACTGCATGACTTATTTATGCATATTATGCATATGCATATTTAACTTTGAAAAAAAATTGAAAACAAAAGAGCATGTGTTATGCAGTATGGCTTCATGGAAAGAGCCCTGGTTTAGGGACAGGTGATCTGAGGTCTAATCTTGATTCTACCAAAGCTTTGATATCTATGTGACCCTGAGCAAGTCATTTGCATTCTTGGAAGTATATGTCCTTATTTGATAAAGTGGACTTAATAATGTTTAAGGACCTTTCCAGCTCCAAATTAAATAATATGATAAAGTACTTATCGAACATAAATATTTGATTGAAGAATTAAATATTTTACTAATGATAATTTGTTTCTATCAGGCTTACATTTAATGCATCTATATTTTAAAAACTGTTTTTATTAAGGTTTATTTTAATATGTTAGTACAAATATCTTCAAATGAAGTAGATTGCTATGGACTGAATTGTGCCCGTCCCCCCAGCGTGCTGTCCCCACAATGTGATGATATTTGAAGATGGGGCTTTTGAGAGGTAGTTAGGTGTAGATGAGTTCACGGTGGTAGAGCCCCCATCATGGGATTAGTATCCTTACAAGAAGAGAGATCAAAGCTTACTCTACCCACATACACGCAACGAAGAGGTTATGTGAGCACACAGCAAGATGGTGGTTGCCTCTTTTCAGAGGCCAGGCGTGGTGGCTCCAGCCTGTAATTCCAGCACTTTGGGAGGCTGAGGCGGGTGGATCACCTGAGGTCAGGAGTTTGAGACCAGCCTGACCAACGTGGTGAACCCTTGTTTCTACTAAAAATGCAAAAATTAGCTGGGCATGGTGGCAGGTGCCTGTAATCACAGCTGCTTGGGAGGCTGAGGCATGAGAATCACTTGAACCTGGGAGGCGGAGGTTGCAGTGAACAAATATCATGCCACTGCACTCCAGCCTGGGTGACAGAGCGAGACTCCATCTCAGAAAAAAAAAAAAAAAAATTATTGAATCTTAAAGAAACATTTTTAAAAAATTATTTTGTAACTTAAAAGTCATCCAATTTTTTAAAAGGTGAGAACATAAGTGTATTCAATGTCCTTTCCTCATAGAATCTTGACCCATTTACAATGTTTCTATTAAACAATTCTAAATATAATTTTTGAGGAATCAATTCAAATACTTTCCTTTGAGGATTTTTCTACATGATACTAATAAAGGTGTGGTTTTTTTGTTTGTTTTAAGAACAATAAGCAGACCTTTATTAAGCTGAGAAATAAAAATGAATGTCATTGGATTACTTAGATTTTGCTGTATGTATTTTTAGTCATTGTACAACATTTTTCATTTTTTTCCTGTCAAGATGTTGTGTTTTATAGGATTTTAAGAAAATAAAACATTCTTAAAATGAAGACCATAAATCAGTAAGTGGAGGCAGAACTCACTTATATAATAGCAGTAGGTTTGAAAGAAGTCTGAAATTATACATATGAATAAAAATGCAGAGTTGGAAGTACTCCTGTAAATACAAAACACTTAGAAAGAAGGAAGTGGGAAGAGAACGACTGCATAAACACTTACATGGATTATTTATGGGTATGATTGCTTTAAAGTGTGGATTGGCCATAACTTAAAAATTTAACTCTCCAATCTAAGACATTTGCTGAACTGAAAATCAGATGACAGTAGGCCTAGACGGTAGGTAGACTGAACTACCCTAGAGGGCATGCAGCTAGGACACTGGGGACCTCAGGAGTAAGGTATATGCTCTGTACAATGTCAGTCTTGGTTTGTTGGGGCCATCTGACTCTGGGTTTAGCAAAATAAAAACAAAATGGTGAATTTTAACATTTCCTTTTGAGTTGGGAAACCAAACCAAAAAACCACTTGACCCTCGCAGTTGCTATTTGCCTCAGGATAATGTGATCCTGAGCCTGTTTCTCCACAGCTTTGAGATCACATTCATTTTCTTGATATTTCACAACAAGTTTTAAAAAGTGATAGGAACAGTTTGAAATGACAAAGATGAAACATCAGCAGGGGAAGAGCAGCCAGAATGGCTCCTGTAGGAAAACGCTCGACTGCACATACAGAAAAAGCAAACTTAAGACAAAAGGTACTCATATGGGGCTTATGAGAAAACCTCCAGCTGTGATTTGGATTTTTGGACTCATGTCAGAGGAGCCTTAGGAATATGAAGAACATGGGAATTGTTTTAGTAAGACTTGCCTCTTTGTTAAGGCTTTCATAGTCAAGGGGCGGGGGTGAAAGGAGACCTCATAAAAGACCATAAATTACCAGATTCTGTGAACATTTAGCTCTACAAATACACTTAGTACCTAGTTTTGAATTATGAAGTCCTAAAAAATGCTTTTGGGGATGACAGTGGGGGTGGGAGTAGAGTAAACATTTTTTATTGAAGAATAACATATATACAGGGAATTGCACCAATAGTGAGACAGTTTAATGAATTTTTACAAAGTGAACATATCCCACTAATGACTACCTAGATCAAAATATAATTAACACATTACCAGCACCCTACAAGCCACCTTTTTGTTCCCTTCCAGTCATTACTCACCCTTACAAAGGGCAGACACTATTTTGACTTCTGTCACCGTAGGTTAACTTTTGATGGTTTTGTTCTTTATAGAAATGCAATCATACAGTAGGCACTCTATTGTAATCATCCTTATGTCTGTGGAATTCATCAAGTTTCTTTGCGTGTATAACTGTAGTTTGTCCTTCTTCTTTACTATATTTTATTAGTCCATTGAATAGAGTGCAATTTATTTATCTTTTCTACTATTAAAGAACATCTAAGTTGTTTCCAGTTTTTGGCTATTGTGAGTAATTCTGCTATTAACTTCCTTGTACATGTCTTTTGGCGCACACATATCAATGAATTGCAAGAGTTAAACTGATGGAAAATAGGGTATTTGAATGCTCTGCTGTAGTACATACTGCCAAACAGTTTTCCAAAATGGTTGTACCCATTTACACTCCTACTAGCAATATGTAAAAGTTCTTGCGTTGTTCCATATCTTCTCCAGTATTTGGTATTGTTAGTTTTTTAAAAACCAACCATTTTAGTGAGTGTGCAGTGGTATCTCATAGAGGTTTTATTTCACATTTCTCTGATGAGTAATGATATTAAGTACCTTTTTATATGCTTATTTTATTTTATTTTTTAGAGACAGAGTCTCACTCTGTCACCCAGGCTGGAGTGCAGTAGTGTGATCATAGCTTACTGCAGCCTCAACCTCCAGGCTCAAGGAATCCTCCAGCCTCAGCCCCCTGAGTAACTGGGACTACAGGCACATACCACCATGACTGCTTGATTAAAACAACTTTTTTTGGCTGGCACGGTGGCTCACACCTGTAATCCCAGCACTTTGGGAAGCTGAGGCAGGCAGATCACCTGAGGTCAGGAGTTTGAGACCAGCCTGGCGAACATGAAGAAACCCCGTCTCTACTAAAAATATAAAAATTAACTGGGTGTGGTGGCACATGCCTGTAATCCCAGCTACTCGGGAGGCTGAGGCAAGAGAATTGCTTGAACCCGGGAGATGGAGGTTGCAGTGAGCTGAGATTGCACCACTGCATTCCAGCCTGGGAGACAGAGCGAGATTCCGTTTAAAAAAACATAGATGGGGGTCTCTCTATGTTGCCCAGGCTTGTCTCAAAACTCCTCAAACTATCCTTTCTCCTTGGCTTCTCAAAGTGTTGGGATTATAGGCGTGAACCACCATGCCTGGCCTTCATATGCTTATTGGTCATTTGGATAGCCTCTTTTATGAAGCGCTTGTACAAATCTTTTGGCTATGTTTTTGATTTTGTCTTGTTCTTATTTATGGGAGTGGCTATGAGTTCCTTGTCAGATATATGTATCATAAATACAGTCTTGTGTTGCCTAACGATGGGGATACATTCTGAGAAATGTCTCTCTTAGGAAATTTCATCGTTGTGTGAACATCACTGACTGCATATACGTACGTCAACCTGGATGGTGTAGCCTACTACACACCTAGGCTATACAGTATAGCCTATTCTCCTAGGCTACAATCCTATACAGCATGTTACACTACTGAATACTTCAGGCAATTGTAACACAGTGGCAAGTATTTATGTACCTAAACATAGCAACATAGAAAAAGTACAGTGAAAATATGGTCTTATTATCTAATGGAACCACAGTTGTATACGTGGCCTGTTATTGACCAAAACGTCATTATGTGATGCATGACTGTGTATGCTTCCATTCTGTGGCTTGTGACTTTTCACTCTTCTGATGGTTCTTTTGATAAACAGAAGTTTCAAATTTTAACAAAATCTGACTCATCTTAAACTTAAACTGCTTTTTGTCCAGTTTAAGAAATCTTTGGGCAGGGCGTGGTGGCTCACGCCTGTAATCCCAGCACTTTGGGAGGCCAAGGCAGGCGGATCACGAGGTCAGGAGATCGAGACCATCCTGGCTAACATGGTGAAACCCCATCTTTACTAAAAATACAAAAAATTAGCCGGACGTGGTGGTGGGCGCCTGTAGTCCCAGCCACTCGGGAGGCTAAGGCAGGAGAATGGCATGAACCTGGGAGGCAGAGCTTGCAGTGAGCTGAGATAGCGCCACTGCACTCCAGCCTGGGCGACAGAGCGGGACTCCGTCTCAAAAAAAAAAAAAAAAAAAAAAAAAAGAAACCTTTGCCTATCCATGGACATGAGATTTCTTTGCAATGTTATCTTCTTGACTTAGAAGCTCTATTGTTAGAATTTCTTGTTTCAGCTCCAACATGTAAGGAGCTTGGAAGTTATTATTCCTGTCCTTACAACAAGGATGAAAATTGAACAAACTGAAAATCAATTACTTTTCTTATTTTTTCTGTCAGAGAATTGAGGTCACAGGACAAACCAGCACCCCAAAATCTGGAGTGACAGATTAATACAGAAAATCATAGCTGGGATCAGCTTGCTGAAATTAAAAACTGCTGGAGTCATTCAACCAGTAAGAATGCATAAGTAGTAACTTTGATTAATTGTTGTAGGCTGAGTCTGAACTAGCTTGGAAGTGAGAAACTTCTGAGAATTGCACTCTTAGGAAGTCTCCTTTTAGGAGTTTTACCTCCAGGAATTCCACCAGATTCTTACAGTAAAAAGCCAAGCAAATTCTTCATGTTTCTGGCAGGCAGAAGGGAAAAGCAAACATGCTGAAATACACCCAGAGTGTTCCCCATAACAGAGGCCTACTCAGCAACAGAAAAGGGTACCAGAGCCTTATCTGACGTGAGGGAAGGGAAATTCTCCACCTCCAACCTCCTCTAGTCTTTCTGTGTCACCTAAGGGGAAGAAAAGAGATTACAGCCTGGGGACACAGGCTCCTTGAAAGACTTAATCATAGGGCTATAGAGCACTTCCTCTCCACTCTTCTGGTTGGAGACCTCAATACCTCTCCTTCAGTAACTGATTGTTCACACAGGCAAAAAAATCAGTAAGAATATAGTTGAGCTGAACAGTGTCATCAGTCAATTTGATCTAATATTGACATTTATATAGTACTTCATTTAACAACAGCAAAATACACATTCTTCTCAAGCTAATGGAATATTTGCCAAGACAAACCATATTCTGGACCTTAAATCATACTTGAATAAACTTAAAATAATAGAAATGATACAAAGTGTATTATATATTATTTGTATATTATATATATAAATATATATACACAAAGTATATTATATATAATATATATATTATATTATATATTATAATATATAATATTATATATAATATTATATATTATAATATATAATATTATATATAATATTATATATTATAATATATAATATTATATATAATATTATATTATATATTATAATATAATATTATATATAATATATTATTATAATATTATATTATATATATTATAATAATATATTATATTATATTATTATAATATATAATATACTTTGTGTATATATATTTATATATATAATATACAAATATATTATGTATAATATATATATTATAATATTATATATAATATAATATATATTATGTAATATATATAATATATTATATATATAATATAATATATATTATATTATATATTATATATTATGTTATATTATATATTACATATATTATATTATATTATATATAATATATATATTATATATTATATTATATATAATATATTATATGTAATATATATATATTATATGATATTATATATTATATATTATATATAATATATATAATATATATATTACATATAATATATTATATATATTATATATAATATTATATTATATTACATATAATATTATATATTATATTATATTATATATAATATTATATTATATATATTATACATAATATAATAATATATATAATAATATTTATATATTTGTATATAATATACAAAGTATATAATATATACTTAAATTAAACTTAAAAGAATAGAAATGATATAAAGTATGTAATTAGAAATGATACAAAGTATATGATATGTAAAAGAATAGAAATGATACAAAGTATATCAGACCATGATGGAATTAAACCAGAAATCAATAACAAAAAAATTCCAAAATATTAAACAATGCTTTATAACGCAGAGGTCAAAGAAGAAGTCTTAAGAAATTAGAAATTCTATTATTTTATCTTTGTCATTTAGGTTTATAGTTCATCACAAATTGACTCTATGTATGGTGTGAAGCAGGGATCAACTTTTGCTTTTTTTGTTTGTAGATATCTGTGAAGCATATGCAAGAGAAGGCAAGGCCAAGAGCTGAATGATTTGGTCATAAGGATACAATGTACTACTTCTATATTCAGTCAGTTTATTACTTACATAGACAGGGAAAGGGTGAAAGCTCCTCCATGGTCCTTGTCCCACCCACCAAAAAAAAAAATGGACAACACCAAAACAAAAGGGACCAGAGATTTATGGGATATCCCACTGAAAAAGAAGCCAATTCTAAACTGCAGCCAAGTGGATTTATATTCTGCAGCTCTATTCCGAGGTGGAAGGGCGAAGCAGAAAGACTTGAACATCATCAGAATCCAGGAGGCAATGAGAACCTGTCTCACAACAGCTTCTCAGGGGAGATAGGGAAGTAATTAGAAGATAGAATTGGAGCAGACCTTCACAAGCCTCCCATGCTCTTATTCTCTGGGAGGGTCACAAAGTGTTCTTCCTTGCTGAGCCAAGACACAGATTGGCTGTGGTTTAGTTCTTTTCCTGCAGAGCCTAGGTAAATACATACAAGGTCATCTGGTTGCCCTGGAGTGGCCATTTCTCTACGATATCTAACTGATGCAGCATTTTATTTTTTATTTTTTGAGACAGAGTTTTGCCCTGCCACCCAGGCTGGAGTGCAGTGGCATGATCATGGCTCACTGCAGAATCAACCCCCTGGGTTCAAGTGATCCTCCCACCTCAGCCTCCCAAGTAGCTGGGACTACAGGTGCATGCTACCACTCCTGTCTAATTTTTAATGTTTTTGTAGAGACAGGGTTTCCTCATGTTGCCCAGGCTGCTCTCAAACTCCTGGGCTCAAGCGATCTGTCTGCCTCAGCCTCCCAAAGTGCTGGGATTACAGGCATGAGCTACTGCACTCAGCTGGCTAATTTTTTTAGTATATAAAAGTCCTTAAAATTAATACAGAAAATATCAACAAATCAATAGACCATGTCTGTATGCATGCATATTAGAGGAAAGTAGATACAAATGAGTTTTTAAAATATGAAGCATAAATGAAACATTATTTCACTGAAACTAACATTGACTAAAACAATAATAAAGCCTAATTTTGTACCTAATCTGTATTGTTCAGGATTCTGTAGAGAAAAAGAACCACAGAGAAACAAAACCATATATATTCATATATATATATATGTAAAGAGATTATTACAAGGAATTGCTCACATGATTATAGAGGCTGAGAAGTCCTATAATCTGCCATCTGCAAGCTGGAGACCCAGAAAGCTGGTGACGTGCTTCCTGTCCAAGTCCAAAGGCCTGAGAATCAGGAGAACCCATGATGTGAGTTCTAGTCTAATTCTGACGGCCTGAGAACCAGGAGTGTAAGTCCTAGTCCAAGGACAGGAGAAGATCAATAGTGTTTAACCAAGTATTTGGTCACCTCATAACTCAGTACAGTTGACACATAAAATTAACCATCACAAATATTCATTAATAAGAATAGGATAAGAAGGTCTAACATCCATTTAATTAGAGTTCCAAAAGGGAAGAATAGAGAGAATGGGAGAGATATTATTCAAAGAGATTCTGTGTAAAGATTTTTCAGAATTGATGAAGACATAAATCTTCAGATTTAGGAGATATAATGAATTCCAAGCAACATTTCCAGAAAGCAATTCACAATCGGTTATATCTTGGTGCAGCTGTATAACACTGAAGACTAAAAGAAGTTTACAAAAGCAAGAAAAATGAAAAGCCAATTTACTTGCAAAGGGTATGATAATTACAGTGAGAGAATTCTCATCAGTGACATAGAAAATAAAAGGCAATGGAATGATATATTCAAAATTGTGAGAGAACATAACTGTTAATCTCAGCTCAGCTATCGTAAAATAAATATGCTTGCTGACTGATAAATACTGAGAATTTTTTACCTTCAACAGATCCTCACTAAAGGTACTTCTAAAAGGATGTACTTCAGGAACAAGAAAGCTGTTCTCAAAAGAAAAGTGTGAGATGTGATAAGAAATTGTGAGCAAAGAAAAAAACTGAATAAAAATACTAGACGAGAATAATGTGTAACATGAGAAGAGAGGATCCTAACTCACATTTCAGGTTAATTATAGTTTTCAAGGTAACAGAATATGAAACTAGACTTCCTGGGCTTGAATCTCAGTCTCGTGAATTGATATCTTTGAAACCCTGGCAAATTTCTTAACTTCTGAGACCTTAAGTGACTTGTTATAAGTAAAGTGCATAGAACAGTCCTTAACAAATAGCAGGCAATCAATAAACATTTTTTTTGAGATTATGAAGTTCCTGGAATTGTTTAGAGAAAAGTTGACATGTGAATTACCTTTAGACATGAACCAAGTATGAGAGTTAAAAATAGAAGCATAATTACTAAAAATACAGATATAGAGGTTATACTTTTCTCATCACAGTGAGAGGGAAAAGTCCCTAGTTAATCCAAAATCAGACGTAAAAGTAATGAAAAAAGCAGCTTATAAAAATAGAACATCTTGAAAATTCTTGAAACATATGGTGGTAGACATTTATGTAAGAAAAAGAGATATAAGAAAATATATGTGAATCTGCTCATTTGTGCAAAAGAAATATGGGAAGGATAAACTAGACATGAAAGAGGTTGGTGGGAAAGGAGTCCTCAAGCACACATGGAAGATTGTGGAAAATTTAACATCAAGCAAGTCTCAATAAATTTCAAAGAACTGATAATATATTGATCACATTTGCTGAGTATAATGCAATTAAGTTAGAAGTCAACTACAAAAATAACCTTCTTAGTGGGAGTATAAATTGGTCCAATCACTTTGTAAAAAATGTTTGACCATATCAACTAAAGCTGAATATACATATAACCTATGACCCAATAATTCATTTACACTAGTGGAAATGGTATGCATATGTTCAACAAAAAATATGTACTACAATTTTAACAGCAGCACTATTTAGAATAGCCTGAACTGGAAACTGACCAGATGTCCATTAACAGTAGAATGGATAAAGAAATTGTGGTGCATTAATAAAGTGAATGACTCTGCAGCAATGACAATTAACATATTATAGTTACATGCAGCAATATGTATGAATCCCAAAATTTAAGGCTGAGCAAAAGAGGCCAGACAAGACAGCCTACATATTGTATGATTCCATTCATATGAAATACAAAAGCAGGCAGATCTATGCTGTTGGAAGTCAGGGGAGTGCTTACTCTTGGGAAGGGACAGTGATTAGAAGAAAGCATATGAGTGGCTTCTGGAGTGCTGGCAAAGTTCTCCTTCTTGATCTGGATGTTGGTGACATAGTTTTATTTCATTTGTGAAAATTCTTTGAGCTGTGTGTTTATGTTTTTTTGTATATGCATATTATTCTTCAATGAAAAGTTAAAATTAAACTCATGTAAAACTCATATATTTGGAAATTTAAAAGAACTTTACTAAATAATTTATGAATATAAATATAGGCACAATTAAAATTTGTAAATGCTTAGAACTACCCATACAAATACCAAATTGAAATTCATGAAATATAGCAAAACAGAGGGAAATTTCTATTTTCGAATGTTTACATCAGAAAAAAAGGAAAGCTGAAAATTAGTAAGCTAAGCATCCAACCTAAGATAGCAAATGATCAACAGGATAAATCCAAAGAAAAGATGAGAAGAGAAATAAAGATAAAAGTAGACATTAATGAAATAGAAAAAATAAAGATGAAGTTCTTTGGAAAGACTAATAAAATAGACAAACCTCCAGCAGACTGATAAGAAACAAGAGAAAAATAAATAAATAAACAGTGTTAGAAATAAAAAAAAGTGCACATTCAGCAGAAATTAAAGATAAGTGAAAACTACAAAGGACTTTCTACCAATGAACTTGAAAATATAGATGAAATAGACAACTTCCTAGAAACATATCACTTGCCAGTATAAATTCAAGAAGAAGTAAAAAGATGGAAGCGTATCGAAGAAGTAGTGTTAAAGAAATTGAATCGGTGATTAACAATCTATTCTTTCTGTCCTTCCTCTACCCACACAGAAACAACATGAGACCTAGGTCACTTTTCATAGTATTTTACCAAGCATTGAAGGAACAGATAATTCCAAACTTACAGAGACTCTTCAAACAACATTTAAAAAAAACTATTCCCCACCTAGTATTGAGTTTAACCACAGGACATTGTGAGACAAACACTGTGAAAAAAAGACAATAATAGGCAATTGATTTAGATTATCATAGATATCATGATAAGTTGGGTTAATCTCAGAAAGAAAAAGATAGTTGAACATCGGTGTTCATAAAAGGTAATATAATTGACCTCTTAGAAATATTGAATGAGAAAATTAATATAATTTTTTCAATAGATATAGAAAAAATACTCGATTATGCTCAATCCCCATTCATAATAAAAACTTAGAATAAATTAGAAATAAAAGAAAACTTTCTTAACTGGAAAAAGGGTGACTACCAAAAACCTACAGCAAACATAATACCTAATGGTGAATATTATTTATGTTGCTGCAAAAGTAATTGCTGTTTTTGCCATTACTTTTACTTTTGCACCAACCTAATAGTACCATTCACTTTAAAGTAAGAATGAAACAAGTATACTTGCTCTTATTACATCTATTTAACATTATACTGGAGATTCCAGCTAATGCGGTTAGATAAGAGAAAGAACTAGAAAGGAAAGAAATATTGTCAACATTTGCATACAATATGATTGTCTAAATAGATAGCCTAAGAAAATTTATAGAAAAACAATCGTAAAATTATAATCAATTTTATGGTTCAGCAAGATTGCTGATATGACATATAAGATTAATGTACAAATGTCAATTGCATTTCTAAACCTAAACAAATGGCTAGACAATGTATAATTAAAAAATGATGCCACTTACAACAGCAACACAAGCATAAGATATGTAAGAATAAATCTAACAAAAGATATGTATGATTTGTATGAAAAAGACTATGAAGCAGGCTGGGAGCGGTGGCTCACGCCTGTAATCCTAACACTTTGGGAGGCTGAGGCAGGCGGATCACTTGAGATCAGGAGTTCAAGACCAGCCTGCCCAACATGGTGAAACCCCGCCTCTACTAAAAATACAAAATTAGCCGGGCTTGGTGGTGTGCGCTTGTAAATCCAGCTACTCGGGAGACTGAGGCAGGAGAATCGCTTGAACCCAGGAGGCGGAGGTTGCAGTGAGCTGAGATCATGCCATTGCACTGCAGCCTGGGCAAAAGGAGCGAAACTCCGTCTCAGAAAAAAAAAAAGAAAAGAAGAAAAAGAAAAGAAAAAAGACTGTGAAGCATTACTGAAGGGCATTAATAGGCATCTAAATAAATGGAAACATATATCATGTTCTTGAACGGAAAGACTCAGAATACAAAGCTGATAATTCTCCCCAAATTAATGTAAAAATTCAGAGCAATTTTAGTTGAAACCCTGACAGAGTCTTTCTTTATTTTTGGTGGGGGCAGGGAGAAATGTGGAAAGAGAATGGAGAATGTGATGACTTAATTCTGAAATTCTTGACACCCCCCCTACCCTCCGCCCCCCGGCTCAGGTAATCTTCCCACCTCAGCCTCCTGAGTAGCTGGGACTACAGGCACACACTACCACTGGGCCAGGCTAAGTTTTGTATTTTTTGTAGAGATGGGGTTTCACCATGTTGCCCAGGCTAGTCTTGAACTCCTGGGCTCAAGTGATATGCCCATCCTGGCCTCCCAAAGTACTGGGATTACAGGCATGAGCCACCATGCCCAGCCTAAATTTCTTTTTTTATGAAGGGGGACAGGTGGGTAGTTTAGTTTTTGTTTTTCTTTTCTTTCTTTCTTTTTTTTTTTTGAGGCAGAGGCTCCCTCTGTGATGCAGGCTGTAGTGCAGTGGCGTGATCTCAGCTCACTGAAACCTCCTCTTCCTGGGTTCAAGCAATTCTCATGCCTCAGCTTCCCAAGTAGCTGAGACTACAAGCACCGGCCACCATGCCTGGCTATTTTTTGTTTGTTTGTTTGTTTGTTGGTTGGTTTTTAACTAGAGACAAGGTTTCACCATGTTGGCCAGGCTGGTCTTGAACTCCTGGGTTCAAGTGATCCGCCCACTGTGGCCTTTCAAAGTACTGAGATTACAGGCATGAGCCATCATGCCCAGCCTAAATTTCTTTTCTTATGAAGGGGGACAGATGGGTAGTTTAGTTTTTTCTTTTTCTTTTTCTTTTTTTTGTTTGTTTGAGATGAAGTCTTGCTCTGTTATTCAGGCTGGAGTACAGTGGCGCAATCTCGGCTCACTGCAACCTCCTCCTCCTCCTGGGTTCAAGCAATTCTCATGCCTCATCCTCCCAGGTAGCTGGGACTACAGATACTCGCCACCATGCCTGGCTAATTTTTGGATTTTTTTTTTTTTTTTTTTTTTTAGGTAGAGATGGGGTTTCACCATGTTGGTCAGGCTGGTCTTGAACTCCTGAACTCAAATGATCCGCCCACCTCAGCCTCCCAAATTGTTGGGATTACAAGAGTGAGTCGCCACACCTGGCTAGTTTTTATTTTTTTTAAAAGAAAAAATAAAAAATAAAGGAACAGTCTAAAGTAACAAATTCAAGTGGTAAAAACAGGTCAAAATATATCAATAATAATAACAATAACTAAAAATGGACTAAGTTTATACTTAAAAGACAAAGACAGGTTGTATTTCAACAAATCCAGACATATAAGGGACACATCTTAAAATAACGACACAAAATTTGGAAGCAAAAAGATGAATAAAGACAAATTGGGCAAAGCAAAAAGAAAACTATTGGCCTATATTACTATAAAATAAAATGTACTTGAAGATAAAAAATATTATTAGGGTTGCAGAGGGTCATTATATACTGAATATATAATGATTTAATGCATGTATGCACTGAATAAAACAGCCTCAAAATATATTAAGCATTCTGTAGAAAGAAATGGATATATGTAAATCCATGGTTACTCTGTTACTATGGGAGATTTCAAGTAACTGCTCTTACTTGTGGTTAGACCAAGCAGACAAAGAGCAGCAAAGATATAGAAAAACTGGGCCAGGTGCGATGGCTCATGCCTGTAATCCCAGCACTTTGGGAGGCCAAGGTGGGCAGATCTCTTGAGGCTAGGAGCTCGAGACCAGCCTCGCCAACGTGGTGAAACCTCATGACTACTAAAAATACAAAAAATTAGCCAGGTATGGTGGCGTGCACCTGTAGTCCCAGTTGCTTGGGAGGCTGAGACATGGGAATTGCTTAAACGTGGGAGGTGGAGGTTGCAGTGAGCTGAGATTGCACCACTGCACTCCAGCCTGGGTGACAGAGCAAGACTTGGTCTCAAAAAAAAAAAAAAGAAAAAGAAAAACTAGACAGCACAATTAATAAGCTTAATCTAATGCATGAATACAGAGTTCTGTATCCAACAATTATCAAGCACTTTTGAAATATCTTCAAAAATTATTCATGCACTAGACCATTAAGAAAGCCTCAGTAAATTTCAGAGGTTAGCTATTACATACACTGATAATCTCTGACCACAATGCAGCTAGGTTAGAAATTAGTTACAAAAACATAAAAAACTTAATACTGCCTATTTCAAAATCTATAAAACACAATTTGCTGAGTAACTCATAGTTTTCTTAAAAAGCATAAATTTAAAAACCCTAGAAGTGAATAATAATTACTATGTAGAAGCCTGCGGGATGCAAGAAAAATTGTGCTTCTAGGAAATTTATAAAGACTTGAAATTAATGAGATTAATGCCCATTTTAAGATATTGGTGAATGAAAAAGAAAATACACCTACAGAATACAGAAGGAAAATACAATAAAAGTGAAATATAAAGCAAAGATTAAATAGAGGCCAACAAAGACAAAAGTTAAGTTTTCAAAACAACTAACAATATAAATTGCTGACAAGATTTATCAAGAGAAGGAAGAAGCTATAACCAATTTTATGAATAAAAAGAGGAACATAAATAAGATAAAGTAGAAATTTAAACATAGCAGAATACTATCAACAACTCTATGCCAATGGTTTTACAAATTTAGATTAAAAGGATAAAACCCTAGAAAAAATATAATTTACTAGAAGAAATGAAAGACTTGAATAGTCTTAAACTATTGCAGTAATGAAGTAATTGAAACAGTAGTTAAAATCTTCCCATAGAAATGAATAACCCAACTAAAAATATGGGCAAAGGATCTGCATAGACATTTCTCCAAAGAAGACATAGAAATGCTGAGCAGGTATATGAGAAAAAAATGCACCTGTAATCCCAGCACTTTTGGAGGCTGTGGTGGGTGGATCACCTAAGGTCAGGAGTTTGAGACCAGCCTGGCCAACATGGTAAAACCCCGTCTCTACTAAAAATACAAAAATTAACCGGGCATGGTGGTATGCGCCTGTAATCCCAGCTACTTGGGAGGCTAAGGCAGGATAATTGCTTGAACCCAGGAGGCAGAGGTTGCAGTGAGTGAGATCACGCCATTGCATTCCAGCCTGGGCAACAGAGCTAGACTTCATCTCAAGAAAAAAAAAATGCTCAACATCACTAATCACCAGGGATGAATGCTGTGTTCTCACATAGCAGAAGAAATGGAAGGGCCAGGCAGTGCTCTGAAACTTCTTTTATTATCCATTCATGAGGGTGGAGTACTTACGACTTAATCACTTTTTCAGAGGCCCCATCTCTTAATACCATCACCTTAAAGTTTAAGTTCCTACATATGTACTTTTGGAGGGCCACATACATTCAAATCATAGCAGTATGTGAGGAATGTAATGGATATGTTAATTAGCTTGATTTAGCCGTTCCACATGTATACATAATCAAAATATCATGTTTTACACTCTAAATATATACAATTTTTGTCAATTAGAAACATCTTTCCACAGAGAAAACATTGATAGTTTTGCAGAAAATTTCTATGAGTTTTTTAAAGAACAGTTAAAATATTTGTTATTTTATAGAATAGAAGAAGAAAGGATACTGCCCAATTTGTTCTATAAAGCTAGCATAACTTTCAAAACAAAACCAGGAATACATTATGAGAAAGAAAAATTATAGGCTCATTTTGCTGGTGAATATGAATACAATAATCTTAAATATTAGCAAATTGAATCAAACATTGTATCAAAAATAGCACATAGTAATCAAGTTGGATTTATTTTAGATATGCAAGGATGGTTTAATATTAGAAAATCCATTATACATTAAAAGAGAAAAATCCATTTGATCATATCAAAGCTTGAAGAAAAAGCCTTCATCATTAAAAATAAACACTTAGAAAATAGAAATGGAAGATAACTTCTTTATCCTGATAAAAATATTTATTAAATACCTAGTGCAAACGTCATGTTAAATGGGGAAACATTTGTAGTTCCTTTAAAATCAGAAATGAGACAAGTATGCACATTGCTACCACTTGTATTCTACATTGCGTTGTCTTCTTACCAAGACAGTATAAGAAGACGTGAAAGAGACAATGGAAACATAAAGATTGTCTTTGACCAACAGAATGTGGTAGAACTGACTTTCTGGGACTTTCAAGCCTAGGCCTTAAGATAACTGTCTACTTCTGTTTTCTGCCTCTAGGAGTCTAGCTGCCATGTAAAATGTCCAGCTCCCTTGCTGGAGAGACCCTATAGTGAGATTATGTGGAGAGGCCACATGGACAGGGAAATGCACTGAAATTGTAGGAACTGAGAACTTCAGCCAACAAGAACCAAGGCCCCTCAAGGATGACCCCGGTTTGCTGTTTCAGCAAGTCCCCAGCCATTTCAGCTATCCTAGCTGAGGCTGCAGACTTGCAAGTAAAGATACCTTCTTGGGCATCCTGGCCCCACAGACATCTGGTAGAAAGGAGATAAGCTAGCCTACTTTGCTGTGCCCTCTCCAAATACTGACCCATAGACTCATGAGCAAGATAAGATTGTGATTGTTTTAAGCCACTAAGTCTTGAAGTAGTTATTACAGATATTGGAGACACCAGGTGTCTAACTTCATACACGGTTCTCTCAAGCTCTGTGATAGTATGTGTATGGTATGTGTGTGTGTGTGCCTATGTATTTCTGTATCTGTCTATCTAGCTATGTATCTATATGAGTGAGAAATGTTTAAGGCCTTTTATATGAACCCTTGCTATAGAAAAGTTTTCATTTAGTTGACAATTTGTATGGCATAATAAGGTTAGTGTCAGATAGATGCCAAGGTGAGCCCCAAAGATTCCCATCTCCTAGTGTTCACACTCTTGTGTAATCTCCTCCCCTTAAGGGTAGGCAGGACTTATGGCTTGCTTCCAACAAAATGTAAAAAGATGATGGAATGTTATTCCAGTGATTAGGTTATGCTATGTTGTAAAGATGATGGGACATCATCCTGTAATTATCTTACATTATATCAGACTCCATCTTAGTAGACTGGAACTAGAGATTCTCCTTGCTGGATGAATAAACAGCCACATTGAGAAAGCTCATGTGTCAAAGACCTTTAGGCAGCCTCTAGGACCTGAAACGGACCCCCAGTCAATTGCCAGCAAAAAGTCAGTGCCCTCAGTCATACAGTCACAAGGAAATGAAGTCTACCAACAACTGGAAGAGCTGGGAAATGGATTCTTCCCCAAGTCAAGCCTCCAGATGAGAATGTAGCCTGTGAGTCCCTGAGCAGAGGATCCACACAAGCTCTGCCTAAACTCCTGACCCATGGAAACTACAAGATAATAAGTGGGGTTTTTTTTTAACTGTCTTATAGGACTAGTGAATGTGTGTGGTTTTTTAAGCCACTAAATTTGTGGTAATTTGTCACATAGCAGTAGAACACAAATACAGGAAAATTTGTTTTGGGGTAAGTATTGATGGAGCATCGCCTAGGCAAATAAAAGAGGTTGTAATTCAAATAGCACAATATCATTCACAGAATATAGTTGGTGGTCATCAACATGCCTTTTGATTTTCACTCAGGATTAGAGAAAATAGTGCAAATAAATACAAATTCATTGCAATAGTAAATGCATGGATTTATTTCTGGGTTCTCTACTCTGTTCCATTGGTCTATATACCTGTTTTTATGCCAGTGCCAGGCTGTTTTGGTTACTATAGGTTTGTAGTATAATTTGAAATCAGGCAATATGATGCCTCCAGCTTTGTTCTTTTCGCTCAGGATTGCTTTGGCTATTCTGACTCCAGATCTGGAGCCATACTTTGTGGCTCCATATAACTCTTAGGATTATTTCTTCTATTTCTGTGAAGAATGTCATTGGTATTTTGCTAGGGATTGCATTGAATCTGTAGATTGCTTTGAGTAGTATTGACATTTTAACAGTATTGAGTCCTCAAATCCTTGAATACGGAACATCTTTCCATTTTTTGTGTCCTCTTCAATTTCTTTCATCAATGTTTTATAGTTTTTATTGTAGAGATCTTTCACTTCTTTGGCTAAGTTTATTCCTAGGTATTTTATTTTATTTGTAGCTATTGTAAATGGGATTACTTTCTTGGTTTCTTTCTCAGATTGTTCACTGTTGGCATATAGAAATGCTACTAATTTTTGTACGTTGACTTTATATCCTGTAACTTTCCTGAATTTGTTTATCAGTTCTAGTTGTTTTTTTGGTGAAGAGTAGGCTTTTCTAAATATAATATTTTTACCTTTTCTGAAGGGCTTATTTTGAACAATTCAAAGGTGTTATTTGAACAACTCATATAAAACTGTGTCTTTCAGTTCCTCCCTTAAGTGCTCCCTCAGCATGGTAATTCACCTCAAAAAACATAAATCTAACTTCAAACAGCTGTATTGGGGTTTATTGGAGCCTTCTGGGCACAGAGTGAATTCCTTGGCAAATTCTTCCCCCATAGCTCCCAGCAAAACATCCCCCAAATCCTTCTGCATAGCTTTCTCTCTCAAGTCACACACTAAGCTACATTTTCCCCCTCATCTCTTTTACTTAACTGCTCCTCAAAACACTGCCCACCTCTCTTTCATCCTCTTTCTGCTGCCTTTTAGTTGAGTCTTTTCTTCAAGAGAAGCTTATGCTGCCACTTTGGTAAATCATTCTGCTCCCTTTTCTCTTCCTTAATTTTGGAGCTTTACCTATTAGCCCTGGCAACACATAAAATCATCCATGTGCAGTCACAGAATTGTCCTCAAAAGGCAACTGAGGGAGACACCATGGATAGAGACATTTGAAAATTTCCCCCCATGTATTGGGGTACTGTAGAGAAGTAGACTGAATAGGATATATATATATATCTATATATATATCTCTCTCTATATATATCTATATATATATCTCTCTCTATATATATCTCTATATATATATCTATATATATATATATCTCCTATGTGTGCATATATATTTACATATTTACATATACATAATATATATTCACATAAAGAGATTGATTATGAGGAATTAGCTCAAGTGATTATGAAGGCTAAGACAAACTGAGATCTGTGGCCAGTACACTGGAGGCCCAGGAGAGCTGATTTTGTAGTTCCAGTGCAAATACCAGCATGCTCAAGATCCAAGAAGAGTCGATGTTTCAATTTGAGTCTGAAGGCAGGAATAAAATGATGTCCCAGCTTGCAGGCAGTTAGGGAGGAAGAATTCCCCCTTATTCACTTCAGGGTCAGCCTTTTTGTTCTATTCAGGCCTTCAGTGGGTTAGATGAGACCCACTCCTGTTGGGAAGGCTGGTCTGCTTTACTCAGTTTACTGATTCAAATGTTAATCTCCGGCTGGGCGCGGTGGCTCACACCTATAATCCTAGCACTTTGCAAGGCCGAGGCGGGCGGATCACTTGAGGCCAGGAGTTCAAAACCAGCCTGGCCAATGTGGTGAAACCCCGCCTCTACTAAAAATACAAAAAAATTAGCAGGCCTGGTGGGTGCCTGTAATCCCAGCTACTTGGGAGGCTGAGGCAGGAGAATTGCTTGAACCCAGGTGGCGGAAGTTGCAGTGAGCTGAGATCGTGCCATCGCACTGCAGCCTGGGTGACAGAGCGAGACTCCATCTCACAAAAACAAACAAACAAACAAACAAATGTTAATCTCATCCAGAAACACCCTCACAGACATACACCTAGAATCAGTTTGACCAAATGTCTGGGCCCCCTGTGGACCAGTCAAATTAACACGTAAAATTAACCATCATTCCTCATCACATTTGCCTGTCTCACACAGTTCTTTATAATATGGGCCAGCTTTCTAGGCTCATTTCTTCTCATTTCCTTTCCCTCCTTTCTTGCTCCTTTCACAGCAGGCTATCTGTTCCCATGTCCTGCAGTAGACTCTTGCCTTGCAACTTCTCTCCCCTTCAAACACTGTGTGGCTTTAAGATTTAGCTGAAATGTCACTTCCTCTGTGAAGTGTTCCTTGACTCCTCCCCATTAGACAGAATTGCTGTCTCTTTTCTGCATCACCAGCATTCTGTGTGACTCTCAGTCATGTACTGATCATAGATGCCTTGTGTTTTATTTATGTCTGTGTCTGTGTCTGACATGTTTGTGTTCTCTGAGTGATCTCCTAACAGTTGAGAATGTGGTCGAAGTGGTTAGAAGGATAAATGTCATATATGCATAGAAATGACATCAATAATTATATTTGGTAGGCCAACAACTAGTTTCTCTTCATCTATAAAGACACTTTAGTTGGACTTAGTTTAGTTTTTAAGTAGAAATGTTAGTAATAATACACATGGCTAAAACATAAAGTCCTTATTAACATGTTGGGTAGTACTCTATAAATGTTTTGCATATATGACTTTATTTAATCATCACATTAACACTATGAAGTAAGTCATAATAACCCCACTGTACACATGAGAACACTGAGGTAGAGAGGAGTAACATAGCTTAGCAAGGTCACAAAGCATGTAGGTGTGGAACAGGAGTTTGTACCCAGGCATAAGTGTGTAATACCCATATGGTCAATGGGGAGAGGCAGAGGTCTGTGAAGTTCCCGGGAGGAAAGCTGCACATCTATGCCCTATGCCATCTATTATACAGAGTCTTGGTTCCTCATACCCCTACATAGCATAGCATTCTTTTTTTTTTTTTTTTTTGAGATGGATCTTGCTCTGTCATCCAGGCTGGAGTGCAGTGATGTGATCTCGGCTTGCTGAACCTCTCCCTCCTGGATTCAAGTTATTCTCCTGCCTCAGCCTCCTGAGTAGCTGGGATTATAGGCATGTGCCATCACGCCTGGCTAATTTTTGTATTTTTAGTAGAGATGGGCCATGTTGGCCAGGCTGGTCTGAAACTCCTGACCTCAGGTGATCCACACTACTCAGCCTCCCAAAGTGCTGGGGTTATAGGCATTAGCCACTGCACCCAGCTTTTCTTTGTACTGTTGCTCAACAACAAAGGTGTTTCTTCATTCCTTTTCTCCTCCATTTTCTCTCCTTAGAAATGCTGCTATTATGACACAACTCTTTCTGGAAAAGCACCATCAGGAACCACATGCATTCCCAGCCTGGTTTTTGTTACCAGATCTGCTTTCCACGTATGCTTCTCACAGTGAGCGTGAAGTTATGGTGACTGGCCTGTGACTCTGCTTGGTGGTTGGTGCTGCCAACCTAGGGATTAAACAATAAAGAGCCAATTGTATATTTCAGGGTTATTATACCATTTAATCAGGATTTTAAAAAATTGTATAGAGTAATGGAATCTGTAAATGTATTTATAATTAATGCTACCTTTATTTCAATGAAGTAAAAAAAATTGTGTGAATTATCGAGGGAGAAATATCTTAATTTTTCCTCTCTAGGAATGAGCAATTTTCCATCCAGAGTCTCCCTTCCCCGAACAGAAAGAAAAAAAATCACTATAATTTTCTGTTAGAAAAAAATGGGAATTAGTTAATTCAATATATTTCTATACTAAAAACTAAATAAAAACAAAATAATTAAACAGTAGGATATTACCCGCATTACCATACATAAATAACTTTAGTGTTTTTAAGTTTCATACATGGCAATGTAACTAAAAACTGCTGAAATGAAGTAAATATTCTTATAATTTAATTCCCTTCTTAGGAATATTCTTACCAGAATCTTGTAAAATGTACTATTGTACCGATGGCCAGGACATTTACCTTGGAGGAAAATGATCGTCAGTATCTAAGTAGCTGCTGCCTATAAATCATGGTATTTTTAGAGAAAAATCACAGTTCTTTCACATTTTTTGATTAGCAAATGAGATTAACGAAAATAACTTCACCTCTCACAAAGCTCTTTTGATAGAAGAGTGCATAAATTGAGCATTTAAATGTAAGAATGTGGGAGTTTTCAAGAGGATTCCTTGGTACCAGGCCTATCCATATGCGGCAGTGTTTGGAGCCAAGAAGCGGAATGTGTTGTGAAAGTTTTGCTTTGTGGGACCATCATGGCTTTGAGTAGCAAGTCACCTATTATGAAACAGCTTGGGGAAGGCTTCCAGAGAAAATATGAGAAATCTGCTATGCATTTAGAAATGCTCTTTTTCAGACATGGAAGGGACATTACTTGCAAAACTAAAATATTTTGGAAGAGAAATCATTGGCTCATATCCACTTAATTAGGACGTTTCAAGAGTCCTTACCCTGGTTGGCATAGAGAATAACTTCTATTTCACATTAGCCTGATATCCCAACCAAAAAAAATTTTTTTCTTCTGCTTTTTAAATTATTTTTTGGTGACTTAACTTGTCAATTCAGACTATTTTGAAAAATTAAAAATTGAAGCTGTCAAATTGGAATAAGTTTCTGGGGCCAAATTTAGATCGACCTTGGGCAAGTCATTTACCTTTTTGGGTCTGGGATTTTTTTTTCTCCCTGCTGTGTTTAAATAAGTTGGACTGGATCTCAGATTTGCTGGACTGGTAAAAGCAGATGTGTCCTTGGCTATAGGAGTAGAAGGTGATGTAGTAATTTCAAGTGCTTTAACTATTAAAGACTTGCTTTCTTAACCAGAAAGTTAGGATGGTGATATGTATTTGTTAAGAATTTGATCATGGAATGAACAATGATAGATGTGCAAATTATTACTTCTTTGTGCGTTTCTTTTCTCAAAGATCATAGGTACAAGCCTGCCTCTAATTATATGTCATTTAGATGTGGCAATTTCATTAGAGGATGTCAAGGTGTTTTGCAAACATTAGTTAAGACTTAAATCTCCCTGTGAGTGATTATGATTGTTTTCCTGGCACATAGAGCAACAAACTGAGACACAAAACACTTCAGAATCTTCCCAAGATTACCTTCCTGAACACTGCCATTAAGAACCACATGGACTGTTTGTAAGTTACTTGCTCTAACCTGCAGCACTATATAGTCACTTGGTAGAAGTCAACTAAGGAATTTTTGAAAGAAGGCCAGTCAGCCTTGGTGCCATTGGCTAAAGTTCTCAGACATGTCGAAATGCGTGTCTTCTATGCAGAAGTGGAGGCAATCCCATCAAAGTGAGGGAGGGACAGTTACCATGAGACTGACTGGCTCTGTCTTCTTTTCAGAAGCTGAAGGCTTCATTCCCACCTGGCACCTGGCACCTGGGTAGATTCTATGGCATTAGGTGGAGTTCGTAAAGGCAGTGTTTCTGAAGAATGGAGATGCCCTCCAAGGTATTACTGTGGATACACTGGAGGGTCCAGGGTCTAAGGGAGCAGGCTAAGGGTTGGATAAATGGTAACTATGCTGCCTAATTTCACTCTTCACAAAAGCACAAGAGATAGACGTCACCCTGGAGAGTGCTGTAGTAATCCCTAAATGCCTTATAGGATTACTGAACCCTACTTTTACAGGTTCTTTCTGTTGTTCTTTTTTTCTTTCTTTCTTTTTTAAGAGATGGTGTTCCTCTAAGTTGTCTAGACTGACCTCGAACTCCTGGGCTCAAGCAATCCTCCCACTTCAGCCTCCTAAGTAACTGGGACTACAGTTGCATGCCACTGGCCCTGCATCACTGGTTCTTAATACGGGAAGATTTTGCTTTTATGACTGTCCACTTGGTGTCATGTGGAGAAATGGCTGACAGACAAAAAAATACTAGTTGCAGTAGAATTTATTTATTCATTTCTCTTCTTTCATTGCCTTACTCCTAGACCACTGCCTCATTGGTTTTCTCATTTTCAGTTATTCCTTTTTCAGTCCATCCTGTGCATAACAGCCAAATAAGTTTATAAAGCACTGCTTTCTGTGGCACATCTCCTAAAAGTCTCCTATGGCTCTTCATTGTACAACAATATCAACAATAACAGCAACACAACAGCAACTAATATTAGCCAAGCCTTCAATTATGAGTAGACACTGCACTAAGGGCTTTACATATTATAAACATTTCTGCATAACTTTGAAGATTCCATTAAAATTGGATCTGCTCTTCCCATCTCTTTGGTGTCGACCACAGAAGCAACAAGATGAAGGGAATGTCGTTGGGAAAGCGTCACAAGAAGATGCGCATGTTGTGCCACCACTGCAGCTCCAAGGCCTACCACCTTCAGATGTCAACCTGTGGCAAACGTGGCTACCCTGCCAAGCGCAAGAGGAAGTGTAACTGGGGTGCCAAGGCTAAAAGACGAAATAGCACTGGGACTGGTCGGATGAGGCACCTAAAAATTGTATATCTCAGATTCAAGCATTGATTCCATGAAGGAACAACACATAAACCAAAGAGGGCAGCTGTTGCAGCATCCAGTTCATCTTAAGAATTTCAATGATTTGGGTGGTTGCAGTGGCTCATGCCTGTAATCCCAGGACTTTGGGAGGCCGAGGCAGGCAAATCACGAGGTCAGGAGTTCGAGACCAGCCTGGCCAACATGGTGAAACTCTGTCTCTACTAAAAATACAAAAAATTGGCTCGGTGTGGTGGCGGATGCCTGTAATCCCAGCTACTCAGGAGGTGGAGGCAGGAGAATCTCTTGAACCCAGGAGGCGGAGGTTGCAGTGAGCTGAGATCTTGCCACTACACTCTAGCCCAGGCAACAGCGCAAGACTCCATCTCAAAAAAAAAAAAAAAAAAAAAAGAATTTCAATGATTAGTCACTCAATAAATGTTCTGGTTTAAAAAACAAAAAAATAAAATTGGATCTTACCTTCCTTTTTAAGTTTTATTTCCTTCTATTCTAACATGAACAATCTGTTCTGGAGAGACTGGGTCTCATTTCTGTGCCCACCTTCACCTTCAGCTTCCACTCTGAATGCCATTCTTACTACCCTTGGCTCATCCTGTTTTCCAATCACTGAATGAGCCTTCTTTCCTCTGCACTTTTTTCAATTTATCTTTCAAAGGAGCACCTTGAATCCCAATTCAGGGCTTCTATTAACAATTCTATTTCCCGTCTGTCTACTTTTCCTTGTATTATATAGTTAGCACTCAATTACCTGCCATCTATTTTTTAATAGACTATCAGGGCATATTGAGTACCTATGTGTAAAAATGTTCTTTGTTTCTTCCATTTTTGTCTTGAATCATGTCCTTCTAGACTTGACTTCTCTATCAGGCAGGATAGGCTAAGTTATGTAGCAGTAATAAATAAACCGCAAATCATAATGGTTTATGGTAACATAAACATATTTGTTACCTATATTACATATCTATTGTGGATTGGCTGAAGGCTGTGTTCCATGTCTCTTTGTTTTGGGACTGAGGCTGATGGAGAAGTGATATCATTGCCTAATGCAGTGACAAAGCATAAGAGATGTGGCTAACAGTGCACTGACTCTTGAAGCAAGCCCCATAGCTCTTCTGCTCACTTTTCACTGGTCAAAGCAGGTTACCTTGCCATGCCTTACTTCAAGAAAAACAAAGAAGTACAATTCTACCATATATATATATATGGGGTGTATGTGTATATATATATATGTGCTATATATACACACACCATATATATATACACACACCATATATATATGTGCTATATATACACACACCATATATATGTGCTATATATACACACCATATATACACACCATATATGTTATATATGTATATATATACATATATGTGTGTTATATATATGTGCTATATATACACACACCATATATACATATATACATATATATGATGTGTATATATATAGCACATATATATGGTGTGTATATATATAGCACATATATATATAGCGCATATATGTATATAATATATGCATGTATTTAACTGAGTCAAAAGTTGCTAAATGTGATTCACAGTTATTTTCTGTTCCATTTTATTTAGCTTCATTTTTTAAAAAGTACTGGACATGACCCACTAAATTGATTTAATGACCCAATGATGAGTTGTGATAAAGGATTTGAAAAATACTGGCCTAGAAGCATGAGATAAGCTCCCTCAACCCTTTCTCACTGCAAATCTCACTCTCTACATCCACTTCCTCTGTATGTGTACCCTTGCTGCTGAGTACAGCTGGTGAAAAATAACACACTTATGAAGACCCAGTGGAGGTTGGAGATAATATATTTGTAGAAGTTGATCTGCATAATAGTGTTATTTGGTCTAGCAGCACCTCATGTGTCCTATCCCATCATTATCCCCTCTCAGCTAATGTATCAGCCTGCACACATAATTGAGGCCATTGGGGAACCTGTTCTTTTAATGGTTCACCTCACATATGCGACCCAATCAGTATCTGTATTCTCTCTCATCTCCTTTCATCTCTCAGAGAGGAAGGTGCTACATTATGATGTCTTAAGTGCTCTTATTATTATTTATTCAGGTGTTCATCTGTTTCCTCCAGGAGCAGCTCTGTTTCACTGGGCTTGCCTTCTTTTTTCTTTTTTTTTTCTGAGACAGAGTCTCACTCTGTCACCCAGGCTGGAGTGCAGTGGCAGACTCACAGCTCACTGCAATATCAACCTCCCTAGGGTCAGGTGATCCTCTCACTTCAGCCTCCCGAGTAGCTGGGACTACAGGTGCATGCCACCACGCCCAGTTAATTTTTGTATTTTTTGTAAAGATGAGGTTTTGCCATGTTGCCCAGGATAGTCTTGAACTCCTGGGATCAAGCAATCTGCCCGCCTTGGCCTCCCAAAGTTCTGGGATTACAGACGTGAGTCACTGCACCTACCTGGGCTTGCATTCTAATCATTCTACCTGTTCCACTACTTTCTGGCTGCTTGGAAACCTTAGGTAAGGTATTATTTTTCTCTTGGGCTTATTTAGAGCTCAGACTATGTTGCTGCTGTTTTTTTTTTTTGTTTGTTTTGTTTTGTTTTTTCCTGAGACAGGGTCTCATTCTGTTGCCTAGGCTGGAGTGCAGTGGCATGATCTCGGCTCACTGCAGCCTTGACCTCCTGGGCTCAAGCGATCTGCCCACCTCAGCCTCCCAAGTAGCTGGGACTACAGGCATGGGCCACCATGCCCAGCTAATTTTTTTTGTATTTGTAGATACAGGGTTTTGCCATGCTGCCCAGGCTGGTCTCAAACTCCTGAACTCAAGTGATCCTCCTAACTTGGCCTCCCAAAGTGTTGGGATTACCAGCGTGCGCTGCTGCACCTGATCTGGTGTGTCTTAAATGGCAACAATCCTGCAGAATTGCAAGACAATGGGGTCTTTGACCTGGTAGTTGATGCTGTAGAGGCCTGTAGAGTAGAGATGCTGGAGGAGGCCTTCTGCTCTCTGCCATCCCTGTACCTTGCTAGCTTAGAAGTCAGGGAAGACATAGGCCTACCATTTGCTCTCTCCTGGCTTTTGTGGGACAGGGTGACAAGCGTACTCACACATGGAGTCAAGGTGGATCATCAGTAGGAGCCATAGTTTGCCAAATGCCAAGCTGTCTCCAGTATTCACTGCCTTTGGTTCTCACCTCTGAGTTTAGTTTACAGGGAAGGAAACCTCACATCAGGTCATTCTACTGTGACCCTGTATAGCTACAGCCTCATCTATAACCAGTTGCCTGAAGGTCCTTAGCAGCCCCATGACTCAAGAGAGGCAGATAGCTTGTGGGAATGAACTAGAAGGAGCTGCCTTCAGGATGCCTTTTTCTGGGATCCAGATTAGATAAGCGTTTGTCTAGTTACCTCATTTATTTATTTCATTCACTGCTAAGCTTCTCAAAAAATAAATTGTACCTGTTTTCTCCCTTTCCCATCTCATGTTTGCTTTAGAATCCACCGCAATGAAACATTAGTTCTACCACTTTCCTGAAACTGCTCTGACAAAGGCAACCATTGACCTCCTAATCACCAAATCCACTGGAATCTTCATGTTTCTCAGGTCTTTCTTGATCTCTCAGGTGCATTTAATTTACCCTTGCTGACCACTCCTACTCTGCTTGTGACTCTTTCTTTGGCTCCCATGACAATATTGTCTTCTAATTTTTCTCTCATCTCTCTGATCCTTCTTAGCCTTCCCTTCTGGTTTTTACATCTCTCCTATCCTCTTAATTTTGGCATCTTCCATAGTTTTGTTCTGTTCTTTTCTTGCCGTCTTTGCCTTGCAGTGTACTTTGCCACCTTTATATGAATGATTCCCAAGTTCAGATCTCTAACCCAAATCTCCCTTCCAAACTCCTGATCCATTTATGCAGTTGCCAACAGGACATTTCCACCTGGACAATCCATAGGCATTCTGAACACAACATTCCAAAACGGAAAGTAATCTTTCTCAGTAGTGTTGTATAGTTCAGAGGTTAGCAAACTGAGGCCCATAGGTCAAATCTGGCCTTCTGCCTGTTTTCTGTAAGGCTTGCAAACTAAAAATGGTTTCCACATTTTTAAATGGCTGGAAAAATCAAAAGAATGATAATATTTCATGACACATGAAAATTGTATAAAAATTAAATTCATCATTTATTAGGAAAGTTTCATTGTAACACAGTCCCACTCTGTTTTTGTTATTGTTTATCTTTGGTTATAGCTTTCTTGCAATGGCAGAGGGGAGTAGTTGAAACAGAGATTGTATGGTCTGCAAAGCCTAAAATATTTACTATGCAGTCCTTTACAGAAAAAGTTTGCTGACCCCTGGTGTAGCCAAATGGACCTAGCTTGAAATCTTGGCTCTGCCATTTATTCTCCATGTAACTTGCGCAAATTACTCCTGTCAATTTCGGTTTCCTCATCTGTAAAATGAGAGAGAATAATTATATTTACCGCTCAAAGTTTTTTGTAGATTAAAAGAGATCAGCTGGGCTTGGTGGCTCACGCCTGTAATCCCAGCACTCTGGGATGCCGAGGTGGGTGGATCACGAGGCCAGGAGATCAAGACCATCCTGGCTAACACGGTGAAACCCTGTCTCTACTAAAAATACAAAAAATTAGCCAAGTGTGGTGGCACGTGCCTGTAGTCCCAGCTAGTTGTACTTGAGAGGCTGAGGCAGGAAAATTGCTTGAACCCGGGAGGCGGAGGTTGCAGTGAGCTGACATCTCGTCACTGTACTCCAGCCCGGGCGACAGTGCGAGACTCTGTCTCAAATAAAATAAAATAAAATAAAAATTAAAAAAACATGCATGTAAGACATTTGGCATACTTTGGCATAGTAGTGCCTAATGCAAATTGCCCCATGAGTGTTAACTATTGTTACTTCTCCTCAAACTTACTCTTCCTCCTGTTTTTTCTATCTTTGTGAAAGCTTCATGGTCCACTGGTCACCCAAGCTAGAAACTCAGGAGTCATTATAAACTTTACATTCTGTTGTTGATTTTACCTCCACAAAATCTAACATGTCCATTTTTTTTCCTTTACATTCACTAATACTGCCTTAGCTCACACCTAATCTTCTCTTGCCTGAACTCTCTCCTAACTTGTCACCCTGACTCAGATATTGTCCTCATTTCTCTCTTTTCCACACTACTACTTGAGTAGGTATTCTAAAGTGAAAATCTGATTGTGTTACTCCCCACCTTAAAACCATGCAAGCACTCTCCATTATCTGCAGGATAAAGCCTGAACTTCTTTCACCATCCTGCGTGGTCACTTCTCTGCTCAGCTGTAAATTTCACTTCACCCCACCTTGGATCCCATGTACCTGCCTTTTTATGGCTTGACATTTCCAAGGCAACCTAAGATGTCCTTCCTCATCCTGTCAACCCAGGCAACATCTACTTCACTTTTAACATTCAACTCAAGCATTACTGCCACTATGAAGTAAGTCTTTAACTCTCCCTATTTTTGTGCAGAGTTGAGTACTGTCCCCTGCTTTTTTTTAGGGACAGGGTCTCACTTTGTCACCCAGGCTGGAGAGCAGCAGTGCAATCATAGCTCACTGTAGCCTCAAACGCCTGGGCTGAAGTGATTCTCCTGCCTCAGCATCCTGAGTAGCTAGGACTACAGGTACCACTATGCCCAGCTAATTTTATTTTTATTTTTATTTTTTATAGAGACAGGGTCTCACTATGTTTCCAAGGCTGGTCTTGAACTCCTGGCCTCAAGTGATTTCCCCCCAACCTCAGCCTCCCAAAGTCCTGGGATTACACGGATGAGTCATTCACCCCCCGCCAGGCATTCCCTTCTTTGGGTTCTCATGGACTCTTATTTTCTTTAGTCACAACATGTAGTTATGATTCTGGGCTATAAACTCCTTGAGAGCAGGATACATATTCAAATCCCGGAGTTTAGTATAGTGGTTGATACACTGGGGAAACCTATACATGTTTATCAAAGAAGAGAATAGGCTGGGCGGGGTGGCTCACGCCTGTAATCCCAACACTTTGGGAGGCCAAGGCGAGTGGATCACCTGAGATCAGGAGTTCGAGACCAGCCCGGCCAACATGATGAAACCCCATCTCTACTAAGAATACAAAAATTAGCTGGGCGTGGTGGCACACATCTGTAATCTCCACTACTCCAGAGGCTAAGGCAGGAGAATCACTTGAACCCAGGAGGTGGAGGTCGCAGTGAGCCAAGATTGAGCCATTGTACTTCAGCCTGGGTGACCAGAACAAAACTCTGTCTCAAAAAAAAAAAAAAAAAAAAAGAGAAAGAATAAACAAATTCCTATAAATGTGTAATAGAGATACCTACATAGATACTCAAATAATCATTTATCTACCTGTCTTTTCCCTCTGTGATTTTTCAGAAAATCAAAGTGATTCTCAAAGTGTGGTCTCCCGGTACCAGCATCATCAAGATCACCTGGGGATTTATTAGAAATGCATATTTTAGGCCCTACCCTTTACATCCTGAATCAGGAATTCTGGAGGTTGGCCCAGCAAACTGGTTCAGTAAGCCTTCCGGGTAATTTTGATGCATGCTAGAGTTTGCGAGCCACTGCCCTAGATGAGTTTTTCTCAGACTGTGACTATGGACCCCGTGTATTAGAATCACCTGGGCTGATTGTTTAATTAGCCAGACCCTATTTCAGAGTCTCTGAGTGCATGAAATAGCTGTGGTTTCAGAGCTGGCTGCACATTGGAAGTCCCCGGGGAAGTACTTAAAAACAATAGCCAGTACTCTGGCTTTATTCCCAGAGATTCTGATTCTTTGGGTTTGGTGTAGAAATTGGCACTTTTTTTTTTTTTTTTGAGACAGAGTCTTGCTGTCTCGCCCAGGTTGGATTGCAGTGGCACGATCATGGCTCACTGCAGCTTCAACCTTCTGGGCTCAAGCAGTCTTCCCACCTCAGCCTCCTGAGTAGCTGGGACTACAGGTGTATGCCACCACACCCAGCTAATTTTTTCTATTTTTTTTAGAGATGGGGGTTGGGGGCAGTCTTACTTTGTTGCCTAGACTGGTCTCGAACTCCTGGCTAAAGCGATTCTCCCACCTTGGCCTCTTAAACTGTTGGGATTACAGGCATGAGCCACCATACCCAGCCAAGTTTTTTTTTTTTTAAGCTCCCTAGGTGATACAAATGTACAATGTACAGCCAGGGTGGAGACCCACTGCACTGTGAACATGGGGTCTGGGGTCTAAGGCTTGTCTTCTAGTCCTGTTGCCACCATTTCCTAGCAGTGACTTTGGGCAAGTTAACTCTCAGTTTCTTGTTTGTAATGAGGATTAAATGAGGTAATATATGTAATGAGCTTAACACAGGCCTAGCCTACAGCAATCTCTTAGTAGACATTAATAGAACCCTTATGGTTCCTTATGTACACACATTTAGGAACCATGGAGTTAGAGAATATCCTTATTCCCTGAAACCCATTGAGTGCTGAAGGAATTTCTTTGCTCTTCAGCGGGTTTAATCAGGAACCATGTAAATGCCTCAACTTTCAGTTGTGCTGTTTCATCTGGACAATCAGTCCCATTTAATTCTGATGGTGGTGACGAAGTGCAGCTGTACCTTCAGAGACACAAGAGATTGGAAGTGCTTTGTAAGTGTGTATCATGCCCCCTGGCTCATACATGTTTAATAAGCGTATCTTTTCTTCCCGATTAGATTCCAAGGCTTGTGGGCAGGGATTGTGGCATTCTGTTTTCATATCACAGTGCCTAGCAGAGTGCCAGCTACATGAAAGACCCTCAACTTGACTGAAACGCAGGCTCTCCACCTGCCAGTTTCAGTCGTGCCTGGTGTGATCCTAATAAGGTATTCTGAATTCCCTGTATCCTGCCCTCCTCATCTGAGAAAGGAGGGGGTTAGTTATTTCACTGTAATTCTTGGGGCTGCTCTGACAATTAACAAACACAAATGTCCACGTAGCACCTTAGCATTTCTAGTGTGCCCTCAATTTGCAAATATTAAAAGAAAATAGACACAAAGTTTCCCCACAGTTGTTGTTGGAACTCTGAGTATTTATTTTAGGTTGGCATTGCTGGTATTACCAGGTATCTTAGTACTGCCTTTTTTCACTGTGATATCTCATTGTGAATGTATAAAAAGTCTCAGTGTGAACTGTATAAACGCCCATTACAAAAAAATTAAGTTTTCAGACACAACTGTTTTCTAAGACTTAATATTTCCTTTTTATTTTCTTCCTCTTGAAACTCTAAAATGACACCTATTTTCTAAGATTTAATTGGCACCTTTAAAAAGGAAAATCATAATTATGTTAGAAGCACAGAGGGCCACCATAAAAATCTCATATACTTTATGGACTAAAGAGTGTGTTAAACAGATGAAAACTGTGATTTTCATCCATGATGAAATATATTCACTTTTCCCCCAGGACTTTGGTGTAGCTGTTTCAGTATTCAGGGCTTTATAATGATGGCACCTACATGATTTTTATTATTGAATCCCAATAGGAATGATTGTTACCTTTGAAAATTTTTTGGTCAGAAATCACTACATCAGAGAGCGTTTTCTCTGAACTGTTGTTAAAGCAGAACTTTGAGAGTCAGAAGTAGGTTGGAGTTATTCTCAGACTGACCTCTCTTTACTATTATGTTCTGTGCCTTGTTCTATCCCTACTTAAATCACATTGTTCTTAAATTTTTATATATACTTATTACAGTGCTTCAGGCAGCTGGTTTTTATTTTCGTTAGGATTAGTCACACTGTTCTCTGGCCTTGGAATTTGTAAGTTTTGGATGGAGAGACTGCTCTTGGATGCTGAGGCCTGTGTAATTTTATTAAAGTTTTCTTGGCTTGCTGAATTCACTGCTGTGGTTCTTGACAGATGAAGGGTGTGCGTGAATTGGCTGTAATTTTTTTGTTGTATCAGGCAAAACTCCACATTGGGTGGCTTTTAATAATTCAGTTTTACTTACTTTCTGAATGTTAGAGCATTACATAGGACTCCTAGAAAGAAGCTGAGTAGTTATAAGTGCTCTTAGATTGTTTTATTATCATAAGATTGCCCAAATTATTTCTAAAGCTGTACTAATATATGACATGTATTTAGGTGTATGAGAATTTGTAGGATAATTCTGGCAAGTTTGAGTATTAGGGCTTTGTTACCTATTTTCAGAAATGCTCGCTTTCATAATTCATCCTTCAGGCAAGTCAATTAGAAATCACTTAATTTTTCATTGAAATTTCCAGACACATCAATGCACTTTTGTGTCTCAAAGTTGGTTTCATTTCTTGTATTTGATCAAATTCTAAAGGTAAATTTTACAATGTAATCTGCAGAGCTATTTGGAGGAAGATGTTTGGTATTGATGTTAGATCTAATTTGTTTTCCCACCTAAAAATTCTACTGAATCCTTTTCATATATCAGGTATTTGTTAAATCTCTACCATGTGCCAACTCTGTGCCAAGGGCTGGGATACTCTGGGAATAAAAAGATAGAAGAAAGTCTCTTCTTTCTGTGAGTTCAGGGTCAGTGGGGTGTCAAGTGAGTAAACAAATAGTTACAACGTGCTAAAGACTATACTGGACATAGTGCTTACAGATAATTCCCAAGATTTCACCTTCTGGCCAGAGGCAGGAACAGTCTTTTTGGGCTTTCTCTGCCTGCAGCCTCTTCTGAAAATCTGGTAAAGACTGTGATTCAGAATGCAGAGACTGTAGGCTTCTAGTGGTTCTCGAGGAAACAAAAGAAAACGCTTTTGCACACGAGGTGGTGCTGGTGCTCTGCAGCAAGAACTAACCGCCACTTGGAGGCAGTGGAGATGGTCATCTTTTGCTTGTGCTGAAAAGCTGAGTTCTTGGGCTTTACCCTCCTTGGCCTTAGAGGGCTTTTAATTCCCAGTTACATCTACTTTTGGAATGAAAAGATCTACTTCATCTCTGAATCACTATTCATTTTCATCTTACAAGGGAGTGCTTTTGCTTTTGCTGAAAGTTATCAAGGCTTTCCTGGGAGTGTTCTTGAGAAATATGGTATTTACTACCTAAATGCCCTGAGTTTTTGTTTTGTTTGGTTGGCCCGACAAACTTTTGGCATAGCCTTAGCTGTTGAAGGGCTGTATTTGGAAGGGTGCAATGGAGGCAGAAGAGGGATGTCCCAAAGCGCTAAATTGCATTAGAGGTTGCTGGCTTTTTTTTTTTTTTAAACAATTGCTGCAGTATTTCTGGTAAGAAAAGTTATTAGGTGTTTATGGATGTTTCAAAAGACCAAGGGAAAAAAATGCAGATTCCATGGTAAAATATCCACCTGGGGACCCTTAACACTCATAACAGAACTTAAGTTGGGAATGCTAAGGAGTGTGATCAGCGTAAAGTGGCAGTTGTTTCTCACATGGGGTATTAGCTGGATGCAGTCCAAGAAGAAAGGGGTTGCCAGAAACATCCCCAGGGGAGGATGGGTTGGGTTGGCCAGGTAAATCAGGAATATAGGGTTTCTTCCTATTGAGCAACACCCACCTTCTCCCTAAACAGAGAAAGCTCAGCCTAGTTAGTGGAGGGCTCTTTTCTTATCTGCTTCCTTGGAAGTATTGTGGGAAGCAGGTTTATAAGAGGAGGTAAAAAATCAGAGTTCTACATGGGGCACATAGAGGAAGTATTTCAGGCTAATCATTTTGGGTTGCTGTTTTAGAATAATATGATTTTTTCCCCCTTTGGAGATAAAGTTGCTTTAAATTGTTTTTTGCAGGGCAGGTGAGGGAGTGGCTTTAGCTTGGTCCACTCTTATCTGATCCACTTTGGAATCCACAGACCATATTTGCTGTTCAGAATCTAGCATTTGATCGTGGTTTCATTTAGCACTGAAGTTTTGGGATATTCTTTGAGGAGAGGTTTTGAACATATGTTTTTCCCCAAAATACTGTTTTGAATAGTTGTGTGAATAATTGGACTCAATGTTCATATATTTCTAATCTCTTCAGGGCCAAACTCTTAAAAACAGAGTGTACTGCCACGTAACATCTCATGATACTGCTTGTTCCTAAATTGGTTATACATATGCATTCTATATTATATAAAGTACCTGTAATATATGCATATGAGACAGTTATATAATACATTGTGCATGTGTGATGTATTCAGTATTGATATAGATATATAATGCATACTCTGTACATTAATGTATGCAGCTGCCATTTATTGTATATTGTGGGACAGCAAGCAATAAAAAGACTACTATATACTCAGTAAGACTTAGGGTTATATATATCAGTGATTACATATTCTAAAGTTTAAATCAAATTAAACTTTAATTTGGCAGCCACTCACGGTAAAACTCTTCCCTACTCACTATTTGGCATATCCATAAGTTCAAGACAAAATTATGAAAAATTAAATAAAATCAGCCAATTCCCAACTTATAAAAGGGTTATGTTCCAAAAGTTTCTTTTAAATATTTGTTCTATAGGAACACATTCCCATAAAAATGATCATATATGATGGTTAGTTTCTCTGACTAGTCAACAAAAGTTCAATTAAACCATAATGACTTTCACAATAACTGTAGCCTGATTTCTGGGGCCTGTAGAAAGGAGCCATGCAGTAATAGAGATGAGAAGGAAGTAGGGTCTTTTGTTTTTATGAAGCAGAACAAAACCCAGGCAAAATATTTTAAAACAAGAACAATTTATATTTGGCCAGTGCCAGCTTCCTTTTCTGCACCCTTCTCCCAAGGAACCAGGACTCCCATGCTATCTTTAATGCTTCCCACCTTGTGGTTTCCCACTCAAGTCTAACATATTCCTAATGTGCTCCATGCTCTAGAATTACCCACCCCACTCACTATATTAGTGACTTAGGAAGTATGGTCCTTCCATTAACTTGCATTGGAATCACCGGTGGTGCTTGTTCAATACAGATTTCTGGATCCTACTGTAGACTTACTGAATCAAAATATCTGAGGGTGAGGTGGGGCCTGCAAATCTATCTGGATTTGTAACAAACTCCTTGAGTCACTTATGAACATTTAGATTGTGTGCCTCTGAAATGAAATCTCTCATTTCATCAGAAGAGGTAATGTTGTAAATTAGTGTTTCTCAAACTTTGGCATGCATCAGAATCCTCTGGTGGGCTTATTAAAACACAGATTGCTGGGCTCTCATCCCCTGAGTTTCTGGTTCATTTCAACCTAACGGATCTCAGACAGTGGAGCATTGCAAAATGCAAATGAGAAGTGAAGGGTTAGAAATGTTGGGTAGAGGCTGAAGCGTGTGTGTCTGTGTGTGTGTGTGTGTGTGTGTGTGTGTGTGTGTGTGTGTGTTGGGGTGATTGGGCATCTGAGATCTATCTAACTAGGAGTCTGACTTTTTTTTCCCTCCCAAGTCAAAGCCTGTTTTTCACAGCTTTTTTCTAATTCTCTCTAATCTTAAATCTTCCCCTATTAGTTCCAAGAGCAGTGATACTAAGAGGATAAACTGGGTGAGGAGAGGGCAGGCATTGTGCTCCATTTATTTAAATTTTCTGAAATTAGAATTTTACTTTGGACAGCAGGGGGCTCTCCTAACATTGTATAATGTGAAAGAGAGAAAAAAGTGATCCTTTAACCTGAAAAGACTAGAGTGACAAAATTTGCAATTAGGGAGTTCCTACATATTTGATTATCAGGTTTTCCCAGAAATTATAGTAATATTTAATATACTACAAATATTGGTAAATAGATAAGAACTATACATACTGGTAAACAGATATTATATCTTTTGGTAAATAGATAAGAACAATTTGTTAAACAAATGGAGGCTTAGAAGTTTGAATCTTTACTGTAGATGTTGGCTAATAAAATTTGTAGTGTGATAATTGCCAGATGCATGGGGCAGAGATGTGAGAATTAGTGAGTTTTTAAAAGAGACTATTCCAGACTCAAAGATTTTTGTTTGTTGTGTTTATTTATTTATTTTTGAGACAAGGTTTTACTCTGTCGCCCAGGCTGGAGTGCAGTGGTTGGATCGTGTGATCCTCCCACCTCAGCCTCCTGAGTAGCTAGGACTATAGGCATGCTTCACCACATCTAGCTAATTTTTGCATTTTTTGTAGAGACCGGGATCTTACTCTATTGCCCAGGGCGATTCACCCACCTTGGCCTCCCAGTGTTGGGAATATAGCCATGAGCAGCTGCGTCCAGATGTTTTATTTTCTAGACCAAGAAGCCTTCGTTCAGAGTTAATATTTCATAGGTAAGTTTTTTTTTATTGTAGATGAGGTTACGAAGTGAAATTCCCAATTGTCTCTATAAAATCGTTCTATAGTTCTGCCTTTTATTCATCTTGACAGAGTGAGGGAGCTTTCAAGGCAAATCAGGCTGTTTAAATAGACAATGATATTGCTCAGAGATTAGTTACTTGTGGGATCCTAGAGACACAGTGAATACCACATTGAGAAGATGACATATTTCCTCACCATTCCAAAGAAACTAGTTCCTAAAAAATAAAAGTTTGGTTTAGTAAAGAATGGAATCAAGGCCAGTTTCATGGGCCTGTGACTTGGACACTCAGACAGGGCCCTGTGCTTAGAGGAACCCCACGCTTGGTTTAATGCTTGCCTCTCGTCATCTTGAATTCTTAGTAATTTTGAAACAAGGGGACCCATATTTTCATTTTGCACTGGGCCCTGAAAATCATGCAGCTGGTCCTGAATGGAATAGATGATTGTCTTCGATACTCCTGTTGACTTTTCTTTAAAGAGGTCATTCTCAGCCTTAGATGCACTTTAGAATCACCTGGTGAGATTTTAAAATCCTTAATGTCCAGGCTGCCCCCAGACCGATTATGTCACAATCTTCATGGGTGGGTAGAGGGCATTGGTATTTTAAAAAATTCCTCATGTGATTCCAGTGTGCAGCCCAGGTTGAGAACCACTGTACATTTGGAGCCTAGCTTCTAGAACCTTCCTTCCATACTAATCTTTCCTGCTTGAATTATTCTTGCAGTTTAATGGGTTTGTAAGATTTTAGATTCTTCACACAGGCTTATGTGTTACAAGAATAAAAATGTATAGAATTTGAATTCTTTATATGATATGTTTTATTTTTATTACTATTAAAGATTGTGGCATTGCAAAGAATCTTAAATATGGATATAATCACCCTTGTAGTCCCTTTAAAGTAGCAAATTAATGTACCCTAGAAAGAAAAACCTCAGATATTTAGTGAAATTAAAACTGAACAGGGAAATAAATAGATTTTCTTCCCTTTTGCTAATGGCTGAATATTCACTAAGAAGCTTGCCCTGGCTGGGCCTGCTTCAGGTTTCATTAAATACCTCTTTTCTATCTGAAGGGTTTTTGGGGCACTAATTGTTTTTTCCTTTTGAGTCACCTGTGGGCTTTGGCAATAATCTAGAAGCGTCTGGTCTCAATCCTTCTGGATTACAGGAATTGAAGGCCCCAATTAGAGACCTGGGGTCCTGCAAGGGCAAATCCTTTTAACCTTAATTCACTGGGGGCCTCCTCTGAACAGAAGCTGTTTTTCTGCCTTCAACCTTACAAAACAGCACAAAAGGAATTGCTTTTTACTTAGTGTGTCTTCCTAAAGTTATGTATACGTACAGGTAATTTAGGGATTAATTCCAACCCTAGATATTTTATGAGGCAATAATTATATTAAATTATATTAAATCTTTCCACTTGTTTAGCTTTAAATTGGGCACTGAACAGAGAAATAGTAACTTCATTGCAAAGTCATTAGATGTTTAATGAAAATATTTGTAAGCTGGAACCCAAAGGTAGATGAAAAACAAAATCATCTTTTGGCTCTTGGAGCTTAGACATTCAGACTCACATGGAGGCAGCCTTTATTGCTGTGATTTATGACCAAGTTAGAATTGATGGTGAAAGCAAAGCTTAGAATAAAGTATTTTGGTATTAAACAATTTCTCTTTAGCAAACAGTTATTGGTAAGAGTGACCTACATAATTTATGTATATAATTTCAAATTTTGAAAAGTGAATTTGTTCTTTACATGTATTATTCTTTGAATTGAAATGTGTATTTTTTTTTTTTTTTTTTTTTGAGACAGGGTCTCATTCTGTCGTTCAGGCTAGAGTGCAGTAGCCTGAACATAGCTCACAGCAGCCTCAACTTTCTGGGCTCAAGCGATCCTCCCACCTCAGCCTCTCGAGTAGCTAGGACCACAGGTGTGTGCAACCAGACCTGGCTAAGTTTTGTAATTTTGTAGAGATGAGGTTTCTTCATATTGCCCAGGCAGGTCTGGAACTCCTGGGCTCAAGTGATCCACCCACCTTGACCTCCCAAAGTGCTGGGATTATGGGCATGAGCCACCATGCCAGGCTGAAATGTGCATAAGAATACCATTTAATGGCACTCACTGGAGACCAGATATTATGTTAGGTGTTTACATGTATTATCTCTAAATCTCAGAACAACCACGCAAACTAGTGATTATTGTTTCATTTTATTCTTTCTTCTTCAATTTTTTAGAAGAGTTTGAGAATTGCTTTAATCCTTTAATTGCTGGGTAGAATTCAGCAGTGAAGCCATCAGATTCTGGGCTTTTCTTTGATAGGATATTTTTATTACTGATTTAAAGCCCTTACTTGTTATTGGTCTGTTCAGATTTTCTATTTTTTCATGATTCAGTCTTGGTAGGTTGTGTGTCTAGGAACTTATCCATTTCTTCTAGATTATCCAATTTGTTGGTGTATAATTGTTCACAGTCATCTTTTATGATCCTTTGTATTTTCATGGTATCAGTTGTAATGTCTCCTATTTCATTTCTTCTGATTGAATTTATTTGAGTCTTCTCTTTTTTGAATTTTGTTTATCTTTTAAAAAAGCCACTCTTAGTTTTATTGTTTTTTTCCTACTATTTTTCTGGTGTCTATTCCATTTATTTCTGCTTTGCTCTTTAATATTTCCTTCTTTCTACTAACTTTGGGTTTAGTTTGTTCTTTTTCTAATTTAGTGAGGTGTAATACTATGTTATTTGAGATCTTTCTTCTTTTTTGATTTTGGTGTTTATTGCTATAAACTTCCCTCTTAGAACTTTTTTCTGCATCCCTTCGGTCCCATTTTAGACATGAGAAAACTGATCCTTTGAGAGGCTAAATGACTTTCCCCAAATTACACAGCCTGCAAGTACCAGAACTAGGACTCTTAACTTCCTCTTATCTTCAAACTCGGCCTCTTTCTATTATACTAGAAGTTGTAGGCATAATATTTCTTTAATGTGATAAAATACACATAACACAAAACTTACTATTTTAAGTATTAAGTGCACTTACATTATTGTGCAGCCGTTACCATTATTCATCTCAAGAATGTTTTCTTTGTCCCAAGTGGAAACTTTGTGTCTGTTAAACAATAACTCCACATTTCCCTTTCTCCCCAGTTTCTGGTACCTCTATCCTACTTTTTGTCTCCATGAATTTGACTCTTCTAGATGCCTCATATAAGTGAAATAATACAGTATTTGTCCTTTTGTGTCTGGCTTATTTCACTTACCATAATGTCTTCAAGGTTCATCCATGTTGTAGCACATATGAGAATTTCATCCCTTTCTAAGGCTGAATAGTATTCCATTGTATGTATATACCATACTTAAATTATTTTTTAAACTTTTGTGGGTACATAGTACATATATATATTTATGGGGTACATGAGATGTCTTGATACAGGCATGCAACGTGAAGTTATCACATCATGGAGAATGGGATGTCTATCCCCTCAGGCATTTATCCTTCGTGTTACAAATAATTCAATTACACTTTTTTAGTTATTTTATAATGTACAATTATTATTGTCTATAGTCACCTTATTGTGCTATAAAATATTAATATTAGGTCTTATTCATTTTATTTTTTTTTTGTACCTATTAACCATCCTCATTTTTGCCACCAGCCCCCCACTCCCCTTCCTAGTCTCTGGTAGCCATCCTTCTACTCTCTATGTCCATGAGTTCAATTGTTTTTATCTTTAGCTCCAACAAATAAGTGAGAACAGACAATGTTTGTCTTTCTGTGCCTGGCTTATTTCACTTAACATAATGACCTCCAGTTCCATCCATGTTGTTGCAAATGACACGATCTAATTCTTTTTTATGGCTGAATAGTATTCCACTGTGTATACATATCACATTTTCTTTAACCGTTCATCTGCTGATAGACACTTAGGTTGATTCCAATTCTTAGCTATTGTAAGCAGTGCTGCAACAAACATGGGAGTGCAGATATCTCTTTGATATACTGATTTCCTTTCTTTTGGGTATATACCCAGCAGTGGGATTGCTGGACCATATGATAGCTGTATTTTTAGTTTTTTGAGGAACCTCCAAACTGTTTTTCATAGTGGTTGTACTAATTTACATTCCCCCCAACAGTGTACAGGGGTTCCCTTTTCTCCATATCCTCTACACCATGTTTTATTTGTCTATTCATCTATTGATGATACTTGGGTTGTTTCTACCTTTTAGCTGCCATGAATGTTGCTGTGAACATTAGTGTTCAAAGATCTGTTAAATTCTCTTCTTTAAGTGGAATTGTTATATTATGTATTTGGCAATTCTGTATTTAATTTTTTGGAAACCAATCAACTGTCTTGAATGCATGAAATTTACATTAGGGCATGTGATTGAAAAAAATACAAATCTTCTATATAGAATGCTGAGGTGAAATTCAACTACGAAATAGCAAATGGACCAACAGGACCAGGTGTGTCTCCTTGGTTTGTGGGTTCTGATCAGGCATAGAGTTAAGGGAAATCAGTGACGGTGAACATGATGAAGTCAGTGACGGGGAACATGATGAAGAAGAGATCTTCCTTGCCTCACTGTGAGTCCTTCACCAACAAGCGGCCATCCATTTCTGTCTGGTTCCTGCCCTGGGTGATTGAACAAAAGGAGGTTTTTTTGAAAGCATGCACTGGTACGGTTATCTTTCTCAATAAAACTAAATCCAAACATTCCTTCCAGGCCCTGGAAAGAGCAAGTCCTAATCTCTGATGAATTTATTGTGCAAATTACAGATATACAGAATCATCCTGCAACCACACATATTGCATAATCACATTTTAAAACCAGTTGTCATGTTTTCATATCATGATATTGCTAATAGATACAGCTGCTGCTGGGCTTCTTTCTCTGTGTGGCCAGGCCAAGTAAGAACCAGTGGGGAAAAATAAAAAATAAAAACAGCATTTGGCAGGGTGGATGTTGGGCAATTAATGATTATTTACTAATAGATTTCAGCTGTGCCTCTAATGCCTTCTGCATTAATGGACATTTAATGGTGTCCTATGAATTTGCTTTGGCAATAATTGTGTGCACCCATATTCAAGTCAGCAAATATTTATTGCATGTCTGGTCTGTCCTATTATTAGGAATAAAGAAACAAAAACTAAAGGGCACACCAATGATTACTCATATACTTTATCCCATACTTTCTCAGGTAGTTGTACACCTATAGAACTTGAAGGGGATCATAGAAGTTATCCAGTCTAATCTCTGTCTTCCTACTCTGCTTTCTCGGTGTGTTACCGGTGAGGAAACAGGCCCATAAAGATGGAGTTGTTATGAACACAGTTGGAAATCTGGGTTTGAGTCCTGAGTTATGTGTGAGCCTTTTTGCGTAATGTACTTAAGCTTTCTTAATCTCAGTTTCTTTACCTGTGAAGGTGAGCCTCAGACATTCTCTTCATTCTGAAATATTCTCTCCACTTGGCTTGTGTGATACCATACCTTTCAGATTTTTCTCCTTTTCCTCCAGCTATTTATTCTCTCCTTTCCATAGTTCCTTTTCGGCTTGTCTCTTAAATATTGGAATTCTTAGAGCTCTAACCTACACCCTCTTCCCTTATTACTTTACATTCTTTCCTTGGGCAGTCTCATCCATTCCTGTCTATAGGCTGGTGACCCCTAACTCTGTATCTCCTGCCATGAAATTTCTCCCGAGCTTCAAACCTTATACCCGTTTATCTGTGGGGATGCCGTAAGCACTTCACTTCAAACTTCACATGACCAAAACTGATCTCAGGATCTTTTCCCTGCCTTTTCCTTCTCCAGTGTTTGGTGTTTCAATAAAAGTCACATTATTCACTGAGTTTTTCAAGTTGGAAACTGAGGAATCTTTTATATCCAATCAAATTGCCAAGTCCTGTTGCTTCTACCTACTGTGTATCTCTAGTATCCATCTGTCTCTGTCCATACTGGCACTCTGTTACCACCATCCTCCTTCAGAGTCCCATCATTTCTTGCCTACTACCACTATCTCCTAAATAATCTTCTCACTTCAACTCTTACTCCCCTCCAATCTATTCTCCACACTATACTCAGAGTGATCTATCACTAAAACACATCTGATCTATCACTCAAATACAACTTAAATAGAGGAATACCTGTATTGAAAACCCTCCCATGGCCTCCTGTTGTCCTTAGACTTAGATTAGTTATAAATGTATTTTGCAACTCTAGGGCAATATCTAAATAAATTTTCTAGAAAGAGGTATAATTGATATGCTAAGATGAGGTAAAATGGAATAATTTAAATTGCTCAAGTAAAACCGGAGAAGGCAGAAAAAGAGTGGCAGATAGAAAGAATGAACAAGAGCAATAAATAGGAAACAGTTACAAATATAATAGATATTAACTCAATTGCATTAATATCATTTTAAATGTGAATGATCTAAATACACAAATTAAGATAGGGACCATCAGAGAAGATAAAAAACGAGATCCAAATATATGTTGTCTATTAGAAACCCACTTTAAAAATAAAGACACTGATAAAAAGTGAAGAGATGCGGAACAGAATAGAGAGCCCAGAAATAAATCCACATACATTCAGTCAACTGATTTTTTACAAAGGAGAAAAGGCAATTCAATGGGGCAATGATAGTCTTTACAACAAATGATGCCAGAACAACTGACATACACATGTAAAATAATGAATCTAGCCACAGACCTTATACTTGTCACAAAATTAACTCAAAATAGATCATAGACCTAAATATAAAATGCAGAACTATAAAACCCTTAGGAGATAACATAAGAGAAAATCTAGGTGACTTTGAGTTTGATAATGACTTTTAGATATTACCCAAAAACCATGATCCATGAAAGAAAAAATCGATGTTAGATTTCATGAAAACTAAAAACTGCTGCTCTGTGACAGACACTGTTAAGAGAGTGAAAAGATAAGCCATAGACTGGGAGAAAATATTTGCAAAACACATACTTGATAAAGGACTTGTATCCAAAATATACAAAGGAAAGAACATAAATTACTTTTCCCGAGAACGGTGGCTGACTAGAGATGCCTGGCATTCATCCCCTGTTTCAACAAGAGAGGACCAAGGCAATTGAATAAGCAGCCAAGATTTCACTGGAGTGTCAAAGGTAGAGTGCTGGTGTGCAGTGGGGGAGTGGAGTTGCACCTGTGGTGATTGGAAGTCTAGGAGGACAGTGCGGAGGAATCTGGCCTCTGTAGCCCTGTCTTCTCCACCTGGATCCGATCTGCCTGGAGTCAGGAAGAACTTCCTATTTTGGGGAAAAAGTAAGCAGAAGATTCCCACCAGCCCTCATTGCCACAGCAAACACCTACAGTCCTTACAAGAGAATCACACAGTCTCCCAGTTTGGAGACCTGCTGGGAATTCATGCAACTGAATTGCCCTGGATAAGGAGCGCAAGGTACGCACTCCCCACCCCAGCCCATTCCTTGTTACCCAAGCTGCTGCAGCATGATGCCATCTTGAGACTAGAGCCACCTCTGGAGTGTGCCCTTGTTTGGGAGCCAGTAGCTACTGCACCTCTCTAGCACTGGGCTCCATCTTCGTTTCACAAAGCCCACACCAGTGGCTGAATGCCACAACCCCAGCAGCATGGAACAGGCTGTGATGCTGGTCCTGAACAGCAGGGAAACCTCCTCCTGCCACCTTCACTTCCAGCCAGAAGAACAGTCCTGCTCAGGGTGAACTCGCCCTTGAGCTGGCCAAACTGCACACCCTCTCCCAAGCAGGGGAGGCCCTCAAGTCTCTGAACATTTGACATGCTCCCAGGCCTGCAGAGTGACTACACGGCTCTGCCCAGGGCCTGAGAAACAGTCCTGAGGGGCCCCACCCCCTACACACAAGAACCTGACTTGACCAGTGGCCCAGCTCCTACAATCAGAGCCCGAGAAACAACTATGCATGCTGTCCCTGGAAGGCAAACTTCCAGGCTGGCCAAGCAGCTGTGTGCCTGTGTTCTGGCCCTGAGAAATAGCCCCATGTCCTACCCCCAACAGACATGAATCCAGGCACGCTGAGCAGCTTTGTATCCACATCCCAGCCTGAGAAACAGCCCCATGGGATGCCCCATGGGACACCCCTGGCAAATATGCCCCCAGGTCAACCAAGCAGCTGTACCTCCATGTCCCAAGCTAGAGAAGCAGCCCTGTGGCCCACCCCCAGCAGGCACACACCCATGCCAGCTGAGAAGCCCTGTGACCATGTCCTGGGCCTGAGAAACAGCCCTGTGGGCTGCCCCTTGTGGACATGCCTCCAGGCCAGCCAAGCAACTACATGCCCATGTGCTCTGCCAGAGTAACAGCCCTGTGGCCCCAATCCCAGTGAGCCAGGCCCCAGTTTGGCCAACCTATTGTGTGCACATGCATGTGCCCCTGACCTAAGAAACAGCCCAATGAGCCTACCCCTGGAAAATCTGCACCAGTGTTGCCACAAACTATCTCAGCCTAGGCCACTGAGACGTCGCAAATGCCACTAGTGTGGATTACAACTGAAGAAATTACACTAAGAATACACTACTGTATTCAGCTAGAACCAAGGCTGAAACACCCCATCAAACTGACATCCCAAGACCCAATTATACAAAAAATATTTCCCTGCAAACTCACTCCATAAAATGGGAAGGAGCAAATTTTCCACCAGATGCAGAGAGATCAACATAGGGACATCAACCACAAAAAAGCAAGGAAATATGTCACCTCCAAATGAAAATAATAATTGTCCAGTGAGAGACCCCAATCATAAGAAAATATATGAAATGCCAGAAAAAGAATTCAGAATAATAATGTTAAAGAAACTCAGTGAAATATAAGAGAATATAGATAGGAAATTTAATAAAACCAGGAAAACAATTCATGATTTGAAGGAAGAATTTAAAAAGAGATAAATATCATTAAGGAAAAACAAGTCTTACAGTGGAAGAATTCAGTGAATAAAATTTAAAAATACAATCAAGAGTTTCAATAGACTAGACCCAACAGAAAAAAGAAATTCTGACTTGAAGACAGGTCTTTTGAAATAACACGCAGACAAAAATAACAACAACAACAAAAAAGAATGAAGGAAGACTACAGAATTTATGCAACACCATTAAGTAAAGAAATGTTTGTATTATAGGCATTGTTGTCATTCTTGCTTTATTGTTGAAGCTGGTCTCAAACCCCTAGCCTTAAGCAATCCTCCCACCTTGGCCTCCCAAAGTGTTAGGATAACAGGTGAGAGCTCCCCCATAATTTAAGACATCAAAATTATATCAAATATCTTACATGATCTCAATGGAATAAAACTAGGTATCAATAACAAGAGAAACATTTGAAACTACAAATACAAGGAAATTAAACAATTTGCTCCTGAATGACAAATGGGTGAGAGAAGAAATAAAGAATAAAATGAATTTATTTATTTATGAGACAGGGTTTCACTCTATCACCCAGGCTAGAGTACAGTGGTGTGACCATGGCTCACTGTAGCCTCCATCTCCTGGGCTCAATCTGTCCTCTCACAACTTCCCAAGTAGCTGGAACTACAGGTGTGCACCATCATGCCTGGCTAATTTTTGTAATTTTGTAGAGACAGGGTTTTGCCATGTTGCCCAGGCTGGTCTCAGACTCCCGGGCTCAAGCAATTTGCCTGCTTCCATCTCCCAAAGTGCTGGATTACAGGCATGAGCCACTGTATCAGGCCTCAAAAATGAAATTTAAAAGTTTCTTGAAACAGATAAAAATAGAAGCACAAAATAGCAAAACCTATGGGGCACAGAAAAAGCAGTTTTAAGAGGCAAGTTTATAGCAATAAATGTCTACATCAAAAAACTAGAAAGATTCCAAATAAACAACCTAATAACGCACCACAAAGAAGTAGAAAAGCAAGAACAAAACAAACCCCAAATTAATAGAAGAAAATAAATAATAAAGATCAGAATAGAAATAATAAGAGAGAGACTAAAAAATACAAAAGATCAATGAAACAAAAAGTTGGTTCTTTGGAAAGAAACTAAACCACTAAGTCATTAACTAGGCTATGAAGAAAAGAGAGAAGACCTAAATAAATAATGCCAAAAACAAAACAGGATACATCATACAGATACAAAAGAAATACAAAGGCTCATTAGAGAATACTATAAATAACTATATGTCAATAAATTTGAAAACCTAGGGAAAATGGATAAATTCCTGGACACATTTAATTTGAACCAAGAAGAAATAGAAAACCTGAACTGACCAATGACAAGTAATGAGATTGAATCAGTAATAAAAAGTCTTTCCAAAAAAAAAGTTGAGAACCAGATGGCTTCTCCACTGAATTTTACCAAACCTGTAAATAAGAATTAATACCAATTATTCTCAAACTATTTCCAAAACTGGAAAGAAGGAATTCTTTCTGCCTCATTCCATGAGACTGACAACCAGAAAAGGACACACACACACACACACACACACATACACACACACAAAGAAAACTATAGGCCAATATACCTGAGGAACATAGCTGCAAAAATCTTTTAAAAAATACTAGCAAACTGAATCCAACTACACATCAAAAAGATAGTACATCATGATGAAGTGGGATACAACCCAGGAGTGCAAGGATGGTTCAACATCTGCAAATCAATAAATGTCGTACATCACATCAACAGAATGACAAAAACCATCTAAATGGATGCAGAAAAAGCTTTTGATAAAATTTAGCATTCCTAAAATCTCTTAATAAATTAGGTACAGGATGAAAGTACCTCAACATAATCAATGCTATATATGAAAAACCCATAGCTAACATCTTACTGAATACAGAAAAGATGGTAGCTTTTCTCCTAACAACTGGAACAGGACAAGGATGCCCACTCTAACTACACTCATTCAACATAACACTAGAAGTCCTAGCCAGAGCAATTAGGCAAGAAAAAGAAATAAAGGGCATCCACAATGAAAAGGAGGATGTCAAATTGTCCCTTTTTGCAGATGACATGATCTTATATATACAAAAACCTAAAGACTATATCAAAAAATTCCTAGAACTGATGAATGAATTTAGTAAAGTGCCAGGATACAAAATTCAGTAGCATTTCTACACAGAACAACAAACTAGTTGAAAAGGAAATCAAGAAGGCAATCCCATTTGCAATAGCTACAGAAAATAATAAAATATTTAGGAGTAAATTTAACCAAAAAAGGTAAAAGACCTCTACAAGGAAAACTACAAAACACTGATGGAAGAAATTGAAGAAGATATAAACAAATGGAAAGACGTCCACACTCATGGATTAGAAGAATTAATATTATTAAAATGACCTTATTCCCCAAAGAAATCAAGTGATTCAATGCAGTTTCTAGCAAAATATCAATGACATTTTTCACAGAAATAAGAAAAAAATCCTAAAATTTGTATGGAGCCACAAAAGACTCCAAATAGCCAAAGCAATCCTGTCCTAAAAGAACAAAGTTGGTGGTGTCACACTAACAGACCTCAAAATATGCTATAAAGCTGTAGTAATCAAAACAGCATGGTGTGGCATAAAAACAGACATATTGACCAACTAAACAGAACCCAGAACCCAGAAATTAATTGATCTATCTATAGTCAACTGATTTGTGACAAATGTGGGAAGAACACTGGGGGAAAGGACAGTCTCTTCAATAAATAGTGCTGGGAAAACTGGATATCCATATGTAGAAGAATGAAATAGACCCCCACCTCTTACTCTATATGAAAATCAAAATGAATCACAGACCTAAATGTAAGACCTCAAATGACAAAACTACTAGAAGAACACAAGGGAAATGCTTTAGGACATTGGCCTGGGAAAAGACTTTATGAATAAGACCTCAAAAGTACAAGGAACAAAAGCAAAAATAAACCAGTGGGATTATGTCAAACTAAAATGTTCTGCATAGCAAAAGAAACAATCAGCAGAATGAAGAGGCAACCTGTTGAAGGGGAGAAAATATTTGTGAACTACTCATCTGGCAGAGGATTAATATCTAGAATATAAAAGGAGCTGAAACATCTCAACAGCAAAAACATCAAACAATCCAATTAAAAAATGGGCAAATGATGTGAACAGACATTTATTAGGAGACAACAAATGGCCAACAAATATATGAAAAAATGCTCAACATCACTAATCATCAGGGAAATGCAAACCAAAATCACAATGAGGTATCATCTCACCCCAGTAAGGATGGCTATTATAAAAAAGACAAAAAATAACAAATGCTGGTGAGAATGAGGAGAAAAGGGAATTCTTATACACTGTGTGTGGACATGCAAGCTAGTACAGCCACTATGGAGGATAGTATGGAGGACTCTAAAACACTACAAATAGATACAACTAATTGATCACAACCAGTTACAGATTTCTTTGTTCTTTCTCCACTCACAACACTTCACTTAACAAGCCAAAAAACAAGGAAAATCTACAAATAGAACTACCATATGATCCAGTAACCCTACTACTGAGAATTTGTCCAAAGGAAAGAAATCATTATATTGAAGTCATAAAAATAAAATCTTGTAATGTGTGGCGACACTGATAGAACTGGAGGACCATTATGTCAAATGAAGTAAGCCAGGATCCAAACATTAAACACTGCATGTTCTCATGCATATGTGAAAACTAAAAAATCTTGATCTCGTTCAAGTAAAAAGTAGAACAGAGAACACTAGAGCATGGAAAGGGGAGGGGAAAGAAAGGGATTGGAAGAGATTTGTTAAATGATACAAAATTACAGCTGGATAGAAGGAATAAGTTCTAGTGTTCTATACCACTATAGGATGAATAGAGTTAATATATTTTATATTTTCAAATAGCTAGAAGGAGGATATCAAATGTTCCTAACACAAAGAAATGATGTTTGAGGTGATGGATATACTAATTATTCCAATCTGATCAGCAGACATTTTAGGTATCATATCACTATGTATCCCATTAATATATACAATTATTATTTGTTAACTAAAATTGAAATAAAAATATATGCAAAGAACTCTTATAAGTCAACAATTTAAAAATTCCCATTAAAAAGTTGTCAAAAGATCTGAACAGGCACTTCACCAAAGATATACAGATGGCAAATACACATATGAAAAATGTCAACATTAAATTGCATTAGGGAATTGCAAATTAAAATGAAATACCACTACAAACCTATTAGAATGGCTTCAGTGCAAAACACTGACAACATCAAATGGTGATGAGAATGTGGAGCAATATTCATTGTTGGTAGTAATAGAAAATGGTATAGCCCCTTTGGAAGGCAGTTTCCTAACAAAGCCAAACATAATCTTGCCATACAGTCCAGCAATTCTGCTCCTAGATATTTATCCAAATAATTTAAAAGTGTATATCCATACAAAAATCTGTACATGGATGTTTATAGTAGCTTTATTCATAATTGCCAAAACTTGGAAGCATCCAAGATGTCCTTCATAGGTGAATGGATAAACAAACAGTGGTGCATAAACACAATGGAATATTATTGAATGATAAGAAGAAATGAGCTCTCAAACTATGAAAAGACATAGAGGAGCCTTAAGTATTTATTGCTAAGTGAAAGAAACTGTATGATACCAACTATGACATTCTGAAAAAGGCAAAACTATGGAGACAGTAAAAAGAGCAGTGGTTGCCAGGGATTTGAAGGTGGGAAGACAGGGATGAATAGATGGAGCACAGGGGATGTTTAGGGTAGTAAATCTATTCTGAATGATAGATATATGTTATATATCTATCATAATGTCATTAAATATATACATTATATATGTCATATAATATGTCATAATATGTCATGTCATGTAACATGTCATGTAATATTTGTCATAATACATTTGTCAAAACTCATAGAATGTACAACACAAAGAGTAAACCCAAATATAATATATGGACTTTAGTTAATAATAATATATCAATATAGATTCAACAACTGTGACAAATGTACTACCTGTGTACAAGATCTTACTAATAGGGGAACTGAAAGTGGGGAACGTGTAGGCGTGCAGGGGAAGAGAATATGGCAACTCTTTGTAATTTCTGTCCCATTTTTTCTATAAACCTAAAATGGCTCTAAGAAATAAAACTATTAATTTTTTTCAATAGAAAAAAACCCCAGACAAAAAATGCATATGTAGATCCAGCACATGGTAGGGAAATGGAGAAGTCATTGTACTTGGGAGCTTTTATTAAAGCTCTTTCCACCTGGAGGTCCTAGGGTCGATAGTGATAACCTGGAAGACACTAAAGAGGGAGGTGGTGCCAAAAGACAGTCCTCTGCCCACTCTATAAAGGTAGATAATTTTGTATTTAAAACCTTTGAGGGGAAAACTGCCAGTGCCTGGGAGACATCTTTAGAGAGGAGGGCCAAGGAGTTCGCTAAAGTCAGGTGGTTGAGAATCGAATCTGTGGACCTGAATTTGCATCCACTGAAGAATACAAAGATATAAAGATAGCTGGGTGTGGTGATGCATGCCAGTAATCCTAGCAACTTGGGAGGCTGAGATGGGAGGATTGCTTGAACCCAGGAGTTCAAGGCCAGCCTGGGCAACACAGCAAGACCCTGTCTCTAAAAAATAAAATAAAGATAAAGGAGTGAGAAAGTCCTCAGGATTCCAACTACAGGATAAAGAGATGATATGAGATTATCAAATCCTTGGAGGCCTTTCAGCCACTTTCCAGAGATTGATGTGGACTTTCAGAACCAGAGAATCTGCAAGCAAACATGAGGTTTGTGCTACTTTTATTATGGCAGCTAAAATCCTCTCTTCCCGATTTAAAAACTTGTTTTCACTAAGAAATACTTTTAAAATACATTTTGCTTTAGCAATTGATTTTATAAGTTTGCATATATTTATTATCCTTCATTCATCACTTATATAATTAAGTTTTTTAATGCTTCATGTTTAATAACTGACCTCTTTTCAACTCTTGAAAAAAAAACTTCACATGTGAATAAAAGGATACACATCCAACACATTAGACTGATTACCTATTGGAGAAGGAAATGGGGGATAAAAAGGTCTAGAGAATTAAAACCAGAAATGACCTTGCATAGAACAATTATTATGGTGTACCCTGATCAAAGAATGGTTCCTTTAACTCTCTACAAGGGTTTTTGAAAATTGTCAGCAATTGTCATTTGGGGAGGAGACTGGCATATCCGAATCTCTCAGGTGTGCTAGGGTGGAAAAAAGGCTGAAGAGGAATGAATTAGATGGTCTCTCCAACTATAGACGTGTTGAAGGTAGTTTGATGTAATGAAAAGAATACTGGATTGGGGGTCAGAAGTGAGTTCTTCTTAGGCTAGTGCAACAGCACAGGCAAGAGATGAAAGCCTGACTGAGGCAGGTGACAGTGGGCTCGAAGCAGGGGTGGGTGCAAGAGGCATGATGGAGGAACATTCATTCAAATAGGAGTATTGTTGGGTATGATGGGAAAAGAAGAGGAAGAGATCAAGGATGACTATGTAATTTCTGTTTTGGATGACTAGGAAGGTAGGGAAAATAGGCAGAGAGGGAACGTTGGGAGCAAGGAAAAATGAATTCACTTTGGTTGTTTTGAGGTTGAGGTGTGTGGAGGTCAGGAAGATGCAGCTCTCAAAATTCGCTGACTACGGTAGCTAGATTGACCAAAAACCCTAGGTGCTGTTGCTCTCTGACATCCAGTATGTCAATCAGGCCCATGCCACACCTTCCATGGGCTGCTCCTAGCCAATGACTGGGTGTGGCAGGTGTACTGATCAAGCTGTACAGATACATTTCCAAATTTCTTCCTTTAATCAGCAACATTGGCTTGAAGACTCTCCATCAACTTAGCTGAACCTTCTTAGAACGGCATAGCAATCTAAGGCTCTTTCACCCAACCCCTCTATCCTTCCTTCTCTGATGTGAATTTTTCTTTTCTTTCTTTTCTTTTTTTTTTTTTTTTGAGACAGAGTCTCACTCTGTAGCCCAGGCTGGAGTGCAGTGGCGCGATCTTGGCTCACTGCAGCCTCTGCCTCCCGGGTTCAAGCAATTCTCCCACCTCAGCCTCTTGAGTATCTGGGACTACAGGCGCACGCCACCAAGCCCGGCTAAGTTTTGTATTTTTAGTAGAGACGGGGTTTCACCATGTTAGCCGGGCTGGTCTCAAACTCCTGACTTCGAGTGATCTGCCCGCCTCAGCCTCCCAATGTGCTGGGATTACAGGCGTGAGCCACCCTGATGGGCCTTCTTATGTGGATTCTATCAAATTCACATATCCACCAGTTTGACAGCTATCCCTGCCTCATGGGCTTCCACCTCATTTTCCCTCACCAGTGATAGCTCTAATTCATCTCTTGTATGTTTAATCCCGTCTACTTTTCAGACAACTCATACTAACACAAAGTGTTATTGAGACATCCATTTGGAGATGCCTAGCTGACAGTTACAAATAGAGGCTGAGTGTTAGAGACATTATATCAATTTGAGTGCAAGTAATATAAAAATCAAGTCAAAGTGGTCTAAATGGTAAGGAAATGTATAATCTCACTTAATAGGCAATACATAGATAGGGTGGTTTCCAGGCATGGTGTGATCAGGGCTTTAGCTCCATTTCTCTGAGACTGTATGTTCTCCCCAACTCTGTGTGTGGACTTTGTCTTCAGGCAACTGTATCTATCAAAAGCCTGCTCACTCTTCCAGGCTCAGCTCAACTGTCTCTTACATTTGAGGCTTATGCACTCAACCCAGTTAGAAGCCATGTCCCAAACTTAAATCGAATTGGTACTATTTTATTTCACTTGTTAAGGTTAATTGTTTACATGGCTGTCTCCTCTCTTGACTTGAGGGGAAAATAGAGACTACATTAATTTTTATCCCCATTTAATAGCTTGCATTTATTGGTATATAGTGAATATTTATCCAATTCAATTTCTTGTCATTTCTTTGGATAGAGAAGTGGAAACAATCTGTGCTAGAATCTGACATTTCAAAATTATGCAGTAAAGGAAGTACATAGAAAAAATGTACCATTCATACATGGCATCTAGGCTTACTGGATAGTGCAACACCACACTGATGTTGATAAGCTGTAGGAAGATATAATGAGGCTGTGGGCAGATGGATCAAGTATAAGATTTGCAATTTGGGAATCATAGTTATGGCTAATGAGTTCCAAGCTGTGATTTCCAACAGAGGGACAGGATTTAGGAGCCCATCTGGATTGTTTCCAGAAGATTTTTACCTAATATGTTACCTCAGCCAAAAAACTAGATAAAAGCAGAAAGAGATAAAACCATGAATACAGAAGTGAAAAATAGTAACATCCTCATACTAAAAACTGGAAAAAATAGAGAATGTTATCCTACCTTTGTTCAAATTCCTATCTGTTAGAATCTTGACTGCTTAATCTCAAGTAAAGATCTAGAAAAGGCTGTAAAGCTGTAAGATGATTAAGAAAATAAAAGAATTGCTGAGTGAGGATAGATTGACACCACAGATCATGGATATAGAAGTGCAAAATCTGAAAAAAATATAATCAAATTTTAAAAGGACCATTTGTTAAAAAAAAAAAAGACCATTTATATCTAATTCCAAAATACAAAAATTTGGGCGCACACTTCAGTATTTGACAAATCAATTTTAAAATAAATAAGAAGAAACAACTTACTTTAATAGGCAGCTGTTAAACTTAATACTCCAAGAGGTGATATAGGCTAAGAATTATAATTAATTCAAGCCTATTACAAAAAGAATAATATCTAGGAATACAGCTAATCAGAGAGGTGAATGATCTCTACAATGAGAATTATAAAACACTGCTCAAAGAAATCAGAGATGACACAAACAAATGAAAAAATATTCCATGCTCATGGATAGAAAGAATCAATATCATTAAAATGGCTATATTGCCCAAAGCAATTTACAGATTCAATGCTATTCCCATCATTGTCCTACCAATGACATTCTTCACAGAACTAGAAAAAACTATTTTAAAATTCATATAGAACCAAAAAAGAGCCTGAATAGCCAAGGCAATTGTAAGCAAAAAGAACAAAGCTGTAGGCATCATGTTACCTGACTTCAAACTATACTACAGGGCTATAGTAACCAAAACAGCATGGCACTGGTATAAAAACAGACTCATAGACCAATAGAACAGAATAGAGAGCCCAGAAATAAGACTGCACACCTATAATCATCTGATCTTTGACAAAGCTGACAAAAAAAAGCAGTGGAGAAAGGACTCTCTATTCAATAAATGGTGCTGGGATAACTGGCTAGCCACATGTTGAAGATTGAAACAGGGCTCCTGTCTTACACCATATACAAAAATCAAAGATGGATTAAAGACCTAAATATAAAACCCAAAGGAAGACAATCTAGGCGATACCATTCTGGACATAGGAATGGGCAAAGATTTCATGACAAACCTGCCAAAAGCAAATTGCAACAAGCAAAAATTGATAAATGGGACCTAATTAAACTTAAGAGCTTCTGCACAGCCAAAGACACCATCAATAGAGTAAACAGACAACCTACAGAATGGGATAAAATATTTGTAAACTGTGCATCTGACAAAAGTTTAACATCCAGCATCTATAAGGAACTTAAACACATTTACAAGAAAAAAACCAACCCCATTAAAAAGTGGGCAAAGGACATGAACACTTTTCAAAAGAAGACATACATGCAGCCAACAAACATATGAAAGAAACATGAACACTTTTCAAAAGAAGACATACATGCAGCCAACAAGCATATGAAAGAAGCTCAACACAACTGATAATTAGAGAAATGCAAATCAAAGCCTCAATGAGATACCATCTCACACACACAGTCAGAATGGCTGTTATTACAAAGTCAAAAAATAACAAATGCTGGAGAGGTTGCAGAGAAAAGTGAATGCTTATACATTGTTGGTGAAAGTGTAAATTAGTTCAACCACTGTGGAAAGCAGTGTGGTGATTCCTTAAAGAGCTAAAAATAGAACTACCATTCAACCCAGCAATCCCATTACTGGGTGCATACCCAAAGGGATATAAATCATTCTACCACAAAGATACATACATGTGAATTTTCACTGCAGCACTATTCACAATAACCAAGACATAGAATCAACCTAAATGCCCATCAGTGACAAATTGGATAATGAAAATGTGGTACATATACACCATGGAATACTATGAAGTCATGAAAAAGATCAAAATCATGTCTTTTGAGGGAACATGGATGGAGCTGGAGGCCATTATCCATAACAAACTAATGCAGGAACAGAAAACCCAGTACCACATGTTCTCACTTATAAGTGGCAGCTAAATGATGAGAACTCATGTATACAAATAGGGGAACAACAGACACTTGGGCCTACTTGAGAATAAAGGGCTGGAGGAGTGAGAGGATCAGAAAAAGTAACTATTGGGTGCTAGACTTAGTACCTGGGTGATGAAATAATCTGTACCACAAACCCTTGCGACAAGTTTACCTATATAACAAACCTGCACATGGACCCCTGAACCTAAAATAAAAGTTAAAAAAAAATAAAAATTTTTAAAAATCAAGGCTACTCAATTTATACTAAGTTATTAAACTTGGACTGGTTTGGAAATACACAGAAAGGTTTTGAGATTGATGTCATGGGGAACTATCCTGCCTATTTGTCAAATACCTTTTATGCCATGGACAGACTGTTTATTAAGATGAATATTTCTCAGTCATCTATAGCCACCTGGTCCTCTTGGCGGGTTGTGAATGGATCCAAAATTTTGAGTCCATTGGCTTTCAGTTTTATATATATCTACGGGACTATATGGGCTGAATTGTGTCACCCCCTGACCCCAAGTACCTATGTTGAAACCCTAACCCCTAGTGTGACTTTATTTGGAAATAAGGTCCTTAAGAAGGTAATTAAGATTAAATGAGGTCATGAAGTCAGGGCCCTGATTCAAAAGGCTGATGTTCTCATGTGTTAGTTTGCTTGAGCTGCTGTAACAAGGTACCATAGACTGGGTGGCTGGAATAACAGGCATTTATTTCTGGAGGCTGGGAGTCCGAGATCAAAGTGCCAGCAGATTCAGTTCCTGGTGAGGGCCCTCTTCCTGGCTGGTTGCCTTCTCATTGTGTTCTCACATGGCAGAAAGAGAGAGAGAGAGCACGCAAGTAAGAGAGCTTTTGTCTCTCTTCCTCTTCCTGTAAGGACATTAATCCCATGATGGGGGCCCCACCATCTTGACCTCATCCATATCTAATTACTCCCTAAGGCCCCACCTCCAAATATCATTACACTGGGGTTAAGGCTTCAACATATGAATTTTGGAAGAACACAGACATTCAGTCCATAACACCTTAAAAGAAGAAGAGGAAGAGACACCAGAGCTCTTTCTCTCTGTGCTCTGCACAAAGAAAAGGCCATGTGACGCTGCTATAAAGACACATGCACACATATGTTTACTGTGGCACTATTCACAATAGCAAAGACTTGGAACCAACCCAAATGTCCATCAATGATAGACTGGATAAAGAAAATGTGGCACATATACACCATGGAATACTATGCAGCCATAAAAAAGGATGAGTTCACGTCCTTTCTACGGACATGGATGAAGCTGGAAACCATTATTCTCAGCAAACTATTGCAAGGACAAAAAACCAAACACCGCATGTTCTCACTCATAGGTGGGAATTGAACAATGAGAACACTTGGACACAGGAAGGGGAACATCACACACCGGGGCCTGTCGTGGGGTGGAGGGAGAGGGGAAGGATAGCATTAGGAGATATACCTAATGTAAATGACGAGCTAATGGGTGCAACACACCAACATGGCACATGTATACATATGTAACAAACCTGCATGTTGTGCACATGTACCCTAGAACTTAAAGTATAATTAAAAAAGAGAAAAGGCCATGTGAGGACAAGGCAAGAAGTTTCCATCTGCCAGCCAAGGAGAGATGCCTAACCAGAAACCAACACTGTTGGCCCACTGATCTTGCATTTTCAGCCTCCAGACTGGTAAGGAAACCACTTTTTGTTGTTTAAGCCATCAGTCTATGTTATTTTGTTATGGCAACCAGAGTTGACTAATACACTTACTAAATGAATCACTAAAATTTAGTGAAATACTAAAATTTGGAGTCCATAAATGGGAATCAGTATATTACCAGGGAGATATATATAGTGAACATATATTGACTGCTCAGTATGTGTTAGGCACTGTTCTATGTACTTTATATATAAATACCCCTGTAATCTTCACAATTATATATAATTATGTTATTATTAACTCCACTTTACATATGATGAAACTGGGTTTCAAACTCAGACAGCCTGACTCTAGACGATGCTCCTAACCATAATATAATAGTGAACATAATATAATAGTGAATATAATATAATAGTGCTGTTTAATAGAAATATAATACAAACCTCATATGTAATTTAAAATTTTCTATCAGCCACATTAAAAATGTTACGGGAAACAGGTAAAAATTAATTTAAAAAATATATTTCACTTAACTCAATATTTTAAAAGTATTATTATTTCAAAGTGTGTTCAATATAAATATTATTATTATTATTATTTGAGACAGAGTCTTGCTCTGTCACCCAGGCTGGAATGCAGTGGCATGATCTTGGCTCACTGTGATCTCCGCCTCCCAGGTTCAAGCAATTTTCCTGCCTCAGCCTCTCTAGTAGCTGGGATTACAGGTGCCCGCCACCACGCCTGACTAATTTTTGTATTTTTAGTAGAGTCGGGGCTTCACCTGACCTCAGGTGATCCACCCACCTCAGCCTCCCAAAGTGCTGGGATTACAGGCATGAGCCGCCATGCCCAGCTTAATTCTTTCTTTAATACTAAGTCTACAAAAGCTAGTGTGCACTTTAAACTTACTGCACATCTCAAGCAAAATTTATATTACATTTCAAGTGCTCAATAGCCACATGTGGCTACTGGCTACTATACTGGACAGCACATATATATACGAGAATATAGCTTGCTAACAAGCCTGCACAAGATGCTACAAAGCTCTTACGTTGCATATGTACATATAGTTGGAATTCCTCCCAATTTTTCAGTAGGATATTATATTATCATGGTATATCACTAGTGCTATCTTCAGTTGGCTGTAGTTTTAAATTGTTCCTACTGGTGTATTAATGAAAATACTAGAATTGCTGTTATTTTTCTTGTGATTTTATGTGTGGTTGCCATTTTATTATCAAGTTATTTTTTCCCCAGAAAGTGGGAACATGTAGGGGAGGAATATTGCCTGGCCTTTTCTCCAATTAAGTAAGTTATAGTTAGGAAAAAAAAAGAGCTACTGAAGTAGATGGATCATTGGTCTGACCTACGCTAGCATTGTTTGTTTGTTTGTTTTAAAACAGTAAGACACAATCATGAAACATAAATAATGGAGTTTTATGACTGAAATACAGTGATGCTCACTGGTTTACATAAATCCATTATGTTGAACATAGTTGAATGGTCTGCCCTCTCCTGACCTTACTATACAGGTATGGTTTGGAAACGTTTCTGAAGGGGTTTTTCTCTAACATTAGTCTAACTCCAGTGTTATAGATAAGTGGTTATTTTTAAACAAAGTAAAAAAGACCTTTGGCATGTTATAATGGCCATGTCCCTTCAAGATTAAAAAAATGATTTTAGGTTACTCCTGTCTGTATCACTATATGCACATTTGTTTTCTCTAGATTCCAAGGATAAGTGGATAAATGCGATGGTTTGCATTTGCCCCATAGTTAGTTAGAATTGGCTTTCTAAAGCAAATGTTTTTACTCCTTTGCTTTAGCTTTACCAAATAATCGGAACTGAAGCAATCTTTTAAAATGGCCACGATGCACTCAATGTTTTCAAAAGCAAAGCATTGTAACCATTTAGATCCTTCATCATTATTAGCTTACAGTGGCTCTCCTTGTAGGATTAATGCATGGAGCCTCCATTAAGTGTTCTCAGGATCCACTTATAAATATGCCAATCTATTGTCCTCTCAACAGTGTGAGTGTTCATATATAAGACTTGAAAAATATTCAGAAACATCACCAATCAGGGAGGCAAAAAACCCCACATACATCAGCTTTGATAACAAAGACGCTCTGAACAGGATTCCTAGGAGCTTCGGTGGGGAGGGGGGTTCCAAGGGGTGGTGGAATAAATAGACTATTAGGAAAAACAGGTAGGGGTTTGGAGATTTCATAGTAGCACTCCATATCCCCCAAATGGTTGTCAGTTTAGAAAATCTATGGGAAAAGGGATTTTAAAAAATAAGCTGATTATTAAAAAAAAAAAAAAAACTGGAAGTATAGCCATCTTCAAATGTATGAACTGTGTATTAGTCAAGAAGCCTAGCTGCAAGGATAAAAAACCAATTCAAACTAGCTGAAGTGAAAAAGAGAGACTTTTATTTGTTCAGGTAACTGGCAAATCTGAGGAACTTATGGCCTTGGGCATGCCTGGATCCAGGGTCTCAAACAACGCTTTTATGGTTCTCTTTCCTTATCTGGCTCTCATCTCTGCTCCTTTCGGCTTAGTTTCATTCTTTTGTATTGCATGAGGCGTTTCTTCCCATGGCAGAAATGTGGCCTCTGGTAACACAGGCATCATTAGCCTAAAACTTCAGCTCCAAAAGGAAAGAGAAAGCTATCTCTTAGCCTCCAATTTGGAAAATGTCATAAATTATTAATTGTTCTGGCTTGGATTATTTGCCATACTTGCTCCTCAAACCAGACACTGTTTCCAGGGGGCTCTGTATTAGTCTGTTCTCATGCTGCTAATGAAGACATACCCGAGACTGGGTAATTTATAAAGGAAAGAGGTTTAATGGACTCACAGTTCAGCATGGCTGGAGAGGCCTCAGGAAACTTACAATCATGGCAGAAGGGGAAGCAAACACATCCTTCTTCACATGGTTGCAGCAAGAAGTACAGAGTGAAGTGGGAGAAAAGCTCCTTATAAAACCATCACATCTTGTAAGAACTCACTCACTATCATGAGAACGGCATGGAGGTGACCGCCCCATTATTCAATTAGCTTCTACCGGGTCCCTCCCATGACACATAAGGATTGTGGGAGCTGCAATTCAAGATGAAGTTTGAGTGGAGACACAGCCAAACCATATCAGGCTGTCATCTTGTAATCAGCTCAGTGTAGCTCACAGGCTTATCCCTTAGTGGGAGTTGGGAGGAGAGAGAGGACACTCAGCAGCTCAATCAGATCCACATAGAATGGTAGAGAGGTGGCACCTCAAATAGAAATATTAATAGTATAAAGATGAAAAGAGTTACATGTTTTCCAAAGTTATTGGAGAAAACCTAAGTAGTTAAGAGTTCAAGGAGTTCTAGAAAAATGCTTTTCAAATTTGAAAATTTTGTTACAGTTTCCAATTCAGTAGGTCTGGAGTCAGGGCCTAAGAGTCTATACTCTTAGCAAGCTCCAGGCACCACTCTTGAGTAGCAATATTCTAGAAGACACTTGTACATTTGGAATAATTTTATAGCATCTCACCAGCAGAAAACTGAAGACAGCTATCTATGTGAGGTTGAGTTTTGAAGGTTTTTAGATTCAATTATTTGAATTATTCTTCATCTGGGGCATTATTATACAAATTTTGATGTTCTTTTGGGCCATAATGTTTTGTGATCTGTTAAGTATTATTGACTAGAAAAATAGCAATGATTAGCCCACTTACTGTTACATAGTTTTGAGAAATACTAAAGTAAGGCATAACTGGAATATGTTATTCTCCTTAAGACGGAATATAGTGTGAGAAAAGGAGGGCTAGAACTGGGACTCTGGTCTGTGATGGGTTGGAGAACCCACAGAACAGAGCTGAGGCTGAAGAGTACATCTTGTTGTGAGCAGTGGAAAGAAGTCCAGGTGGGCAGAGCACCAGAGAAAGTAGGTGGCTCTAGCTCCACAAGTGGGATTTTGTGTCAGTAATCAAATGATGTCAGTGGGAATGGAGAATGAGTGTGGAAACTGGCATGAGCAAGGTAAAGGTATGGAACCTGGGAGACTGAGCAGTTTATGAAGGTCAGTATTTAAGGTACATGCTAGAACTAGGCTACAAGGCAAGGGCTTAGGTTTAGAAGCGCAGTAGTCAAACTTTACGTGCCCAAGATGGAGTAGGAGACAACAAACAGGCCTAATATTAAGGCTGGCTTGATGTCCATTCCCCTAGTGCTGAACTAGAGCTGTTCAGATCCATGATGGAGGGAGTATAAATCTCAGAGCTTGAGAGAGTGGAGGGAGTGAGGATGTGGATCTGGATCAAGAGGCTCCAAGTATAAAGGAGGGACGTATGGATAGGAAATTAGGCAAGTTATCAACAGGTGGAGAAAGTTCCATGATTTTTTTGGGCAGGTTTTTACTGAGATTTTACAATTACTGAGTTGAGTTGGTCACTGTTGATTAATTCACCAGTTGAGAAAGAAATGTGTTCTCTCTACCAGAGTGGTAGTAACAGTAGGTAAATAAACAGATTTGTAACCAAAGTTCATATAATTGCCCAAAGGTCCTGCTAGTTTTTACTTCTTTGAATATATCTCTTAAAATAATAAAATTTGGGTTCAAAAGAAAAAATCTGATTTCTTATTTACTCAGAGTATAATGCACATAACCAGAAATGTAATAGATTTGTTATCAAAATTCAGTATTTTCTATACCAAAAATTTATAAAGCAAGGAAATTCTCTAACAACATATAGGAAAGCATGAGGACTTTAAACACCAGAGGGATATCTATCTCTTTAATTCCACCTTCAAAATATCTGCCCTTGTTTTCACTCTGCACCTTATTCATGCCTTCTCTTCAGTCAGTACTGAGCGTAGAAGTAAGTTCCTTTTGGAAGACTTTTGAACTTGCTCTGAGATGGGGAGGATCCCTAGGGCCTCACTCAAATTCTGACTCTACAGAGCAAATGAAGAAAAAGAATCAGGAATAGTCTGAATTGCCATATTTTACTTGAGATATAAAATAGTCATGGGTCTTTGATTTCCTTGGGATAACTGCTAAATCCCTGTTGTGAAAGGAAGGGAGCCAAAGAATCTATGCAGAAGGCAATAGCGGTCATACAAGTTTGAGAAGTAATTCGGAGCCAACAACATGTTATATTTTGTAGCTGGGATTCAAGATTAAGTAACAGTATATTTAAAAGGATTCTAAAAAATATTGATCAAGAACGCCACATTAAGAAGTAGATACAAATTAAGAAACAATATGCCCAGTGATTCATGGTGACTCAGCTAAGGTGCCTAAGACAGGATGTTCTTTGTTGTCCTCCTCAGTCTTTTCTGAGGGAAGGGTGGAGGAGGGACAGGGGAAATAAATTTAATGTTTTCCATTTAGGTGAATTAAAATTATGTAAAATTACCTTTCTTGGTTTTTGCAGTTTAACAAATGAATAAGCACATGTTTATTTGATGGAAGCTCTATCGCTCCCACCTGGAAGCACAAATATTATGGTGCCTTCCTGTCAAGAATGTGTTATTTGATTTCAGAATAGGTGATAATATTTTTTACTTTGTATTTTATCATAATTTAAATTTGTAAATTTGCAAAAATCATACAAAGATACATATATACATGTTTTGCCCAGCTTCTCCTAATGTTAACTATACAACCATTGTACATTATGAAAACCAGGAAATTAACATTGGTACATTATTAGTATCTAAATTATAAACTTTACTGACATTTTACTAGTTTATCCCAATGTCTTTTTTTCTTTTTCAAGACCCCACATTGTATTTAGTTGTTGTGTTTCTTTAGTATCCTCCAAAGATGTTTTTTGGTCTTTCCTTGTCTTTCATAACCTTGACATTTCTGAAGAATACTGATCAGTTTGCAGAATGTTCCTCAATTTGGGTTTGACTAGCATTTCCTCATGATGGGTTATGCATTTTTGTCAAGAATACCATGGAAGTCATCTCATATCCTAAGAACATCATAAGAGAGATATATGATGTCAACATGTCTTATTACTCATGATGTTAATTTGATCACTTGGTTAAGTTGGTCGTGCTGGGTTTCTACACTGTAAAGCTTCTCTTTTCCCCTTTGTAACTGATAACTCTTTTGGGGTACTTGGAGAGTATGCTAATATCCTGGTTTTCCTCAGACTTTCGCCCATTATTTGTTGCATCCGTAGGATCTTTTCTGCAACAATTACTATTGCAGTATTTGCCTAATGATGACTTTATTCTTATTTCCTCTGTATTCTCTTTACATTTTTTAAATTATATTTTAAGTTTTAGGGTACATGTGCACAACGTGCAGGTTTGTTACATATGTATACATGGGCCATGTTGGTGTGCTGCACCCATTAACTCGTCATTTAACATTAGATATCTCTTTACATTTTATATTATTAATTAGAATTTTTCTATAAGGAAATACTGCCCTTTCTTTACCATTTATTTATTCAATTATTTATTTATGTTAATGTGGACTCATAGATATTTCTTTTACTTCATGAGTTACAATCCAATATTAGCATCATGTAATTTAGTTGCTAAATTGTCCCAATAAAGGAGCCATGTGGGACTCCTTTGGGTTGGCTCCTGTATCCTTTTGATTTGTCTCCATCCTTTTCTTGAGAATGTCCTTGTTTTCTGGTACCACAAGTTTATTCAGCTCATCTTGTCTCAGCCTTGGCTTTGCCTTGAAGTCCTGCACTGAACTCTGCCTGGCGGGCAGCCTTTTCAGTGTGATGTCCTCCTATACTACTGTTTCTTTCTCTGACTTTGGCTTTGGAAGGTCAATCTCCACTCACTAACTTTCCTGAGCAATAGCTGATAATCCTTTCCTTGTACCTTCATTGTGAAGTTCCCTTTGAACTACAGATTTTTCCCCTTTGGCTCTTGGTGTCTGCTGGTGCCTTTTTGCTACTATCATATCTAGCCTGGGACATTTGGATTCCAATATTGGAGCCTACTCTTTTACTCTACTTACTGACCCTAAAAACTCCAAGCTCAGTCTCTGCCCAGCCCATATCTTACTAGGTGGCATAATTGATTACTATGGAGGAATACTTTCTTGTTAACTTTAACAGTGCTGATTAGATCCAGATAGGGTGGGGTAAACTTGTTTCTCTCTCTGAGCCTTGGGGAGAATTTGGCTTGAACTCTTGTGGGTAGAGATGTCAGAGCATCTGACAGAACAGTGATTGATCCCAGGAGATAGATCCAGGCTAAGGATCCTCCAAAGCAAGGGTCTTGTTTGTGAACTCTGAAAATAGTTGCTTCTACTAGCAACTGTATTACTTGTTTTATACTTCTTGTCTGTTATCCTTTAACCTTGAGTAAAATTTTATTCATAAGTTTTGGCTTCACATTAGCTGTGCTTCAGGGGTTTTAGTGGAGGGTCTGTCTCACATGGATGGAAATGCAAAGGGAAGAGCAGTGTCTCCATTTTTGAGGCTAGAGAGGAGTTGCAGTGGGAGAATTATAAGTGGGGACAGCTGTACTTGGCAATGTAGCAGGCTCATGCCACAGTAGGAGTGTGGTATCATAACAAGGTTCTCATAGCAGAAAAACATAAGCATATCTGAAACACAATCTGGGGAAGGGAACTGTCAGGTAGTTTCCTTCGATCAATCTAACAAGATTCACTGTAATTTTCATAGGTAGGAGAAGTGTGACCTGTGACCTTATTTTGTAGTTACAGGTTGTTAAAGCCTGGAAATTTGCAATAGACTTATTAAAAATTATCTTGCTTGTTTTGGTTTAACATTCCAGTCTAGTAAGATCATGTTTAATTTTGTTCTGATCATCTATCATATTAATTTTTCTTTTCAGTTATAATTCAGTTCATTTAAAAACATGATTTTAAAAAACCTTTAAGTCAAGAATAAAAATGTTAATTTAGGATGGTGACTTGTGGCACTGCACTGTCGTCTTCCCAGCAGTTAGAGAATTATGGCTAAATCTATGGTTTCTAAAGTCTACTCTTTTTCTTCTTTTTGAGCAAAAGAGATCATTTTCCTATTCCAGAATTCTGGCACCCCTCCCATTGTCTATAAATTCTCTGACATTTCTGGTAGTGACTCAGAAACAATCTCGGAAAGTTCCTTCTGTGTCTCAGAATGTAATTCATCAGGGTTTGGATATCTGTACTTGTTTAACATGGCTAATTGTTCCTTTCTAATGTTTACCTGTTGCACATTCATTTACTGAAAAGTAAACTGTTAAAAGATTAAGACACTTTTTAGTGTGGATAGAAAGCTGAAAACACCTTGCACAAAATATGTGCCCAGTAGATGGTGAATGAATGGATGGATGATTATAGGATAATTGAATGAGTCAATGAGTTTCTGACCAGTTTGAGTACCTGTCTAGTGTTGGTGATACAACTAGGGTATTGTTGGTGAAAGTATTTCTTTACTAGAGGAATGAGATTTCTGATTTAGGCAAGTTATTATAAGTTTACAACTTAAAATCATGCTTCCAAGATGGCCGAATAGGAACAGCTCTGGTCTACAGCTCCCAGCGAGATTGATGCAGAAGACAGGCGATTCCTGCATTTCCAACTGAGGTACCTGGTTCATCTCATTGGGACTGGTTGGACAGTGGATGCAGACCACAGAGGGCGAGCTGAAGCAGGGCGGGGCGTCACCTTACTCGGGAAGTGCAAGGGGTCAGGGGATTTCCCTTTCCTAGCCAAGGGAAGCCATGACACACAGTACCTGGAGAAATGGTACACTCCTGACCAAATACTGTGCTATTCCCATGGTCTTAGCAACCAGCAGACCAGGAGATACTCTCCCGTGCCTGGCTCAGCAGATCCCATGCCCACGGAGCCATGCTCACTGCTAGCACAGCAGTCTGAGCTCAATCTGTGATGCTGCAGATTGGTGGGGGGAGGGGTGTCCACCTTGCTGAGGCTTGAGTAGCTCACAGCGTAAACAGAGTCTGGGAAGCATGAACTTGGCAGAGCCCACCACAGCTCAGCAAGGCCTACTGCCTCAATAGATTCCACCTCTGGGGGCAGGGCATAGTAGAACAAAAGGCAGCAGACAGCTTCTGCGGACTGCACCAGACAGCTTCTGCAGACTTAAACATCCCTGTCTGACAGTGCTGAAGAGAGCAGTGGTTCTTTCAGCACGGCGTTCGAGCTCTAAGAACGGACACACTGCCTCCTTAAGCGGGTCCCTGACCCCCATGTAGCCTGACTGGGAAACACCTCTCAGTAGGGGCCGACAGACACCGCAAACAGGTGGGTGCCCCTCTGGGACAAAGCTTCCAGAGGAAGGATCAGGCAGCAATATTTGTTGTTCTGCAGCCTCCGCTGGTGATACCCAGGCAAACAGGGTCTGGAGTGGACCTCCAGAAACCTCCAACAGATCTGCAGCTGAGGGGCCTGACTGTTAGAAGAAAAACGAACAAACAGAAAGGAATGGCATCAACATCAACAAAAAGGACGTCCACACCAAAACCCCATCTGCAGTTCACCTACATCAATGACCAAAGGTAGATAACACCACAAAGATGAGGAGAAACCAGAGCAGAAAAGCTGAAAATTCCAAAAAACAGTGTGTCTCTTCTCCTCCAAAGGATTGCAGCTCCTCACCAGCAAGGAAACAAAACTGGACAGAGAATGAGTTTGACGAGTTGACAGAAGTAGGTTTCAGGAGGTTGCTAATAACAAACTTCTCTTAGCTAAAGGAGCATGTTCTAACCCATCACAAGGAAGCTAAAAACCTTGAAAAAAGGATAGATGAATGGCTAACTAGAATAAACAGTGTAGAGAAGACCTTAAATGACCTGATGGAGCTGAAAACCATGGCAAAAGAACTTCGTGACGCATGCACAAGCTTCAATAGCCGATTCAATCAAGTGGAAGAAAGGATATCAGTGATCGAAGATCAAATTAATGAAATAAAGCAAGAAGACAAAGTTAGAGAAAAAAGAGTAAAAAGAAATGAATAAAGTGTCCAGGAAATATGGGACTATGTGAAAAGACCAAATCTACGTTTGATTGGTATACCTGAAAGTGATGGGGAGAATGGAACCAAGTTGGAAAACACCCTTCAGGATATTATCCAGGAGAACTTCCCTAGCCTAGCAAGGCAGGCCAACATTCAAATTCAGGAAATACAGAGAACACCACAAAGATACTCCTCGAAAAGAGCAACCTCAAGGCACATAATTGTCAGATTCACCAAGGTTGAAATGAAGGAAAAAATATTACAGGCAGCCAGAGAGAAAGCTTGGGTTACCCACAAAGGGAAGCCTATCAGACTAACAGCAGATCTCTCAGCAGAAACCCTGCAAGCCAGAAGAGAGTGGGGGCCAATATTCAACATTCTTAAAGAAAAGAATTTTGAACCCAGAATCTCATATCCAGCCAAACTAAGCTTCATAAGTGAAGGAGAAATAAAATCCTTTGCAGACAAGCAAATGCTGAGAGATTTTGTCACCATCAGGCCTGTCTTACAAGAGCTCCTGAAGGAAGCACTAAACATGAAAAGGAACAACTGGTACCAGCCACCGCAAAAACATGCTGAATTGTAAAGACCATCAACGCTATGAAGAAACTGCATCAATTAACGGGCAAAATAACCAGCTAACATCATAATGACACGATCAAATTCAAACATAACAATATTAACCTTAAATACAAATGGGCTAAATGCCCCAATTAAAAGACACAGACTGGCAAACTGGATAAAGAATTAAGACCTATTGGTGTGTTGTATTCAGAGACCCATCTCATGTGCAAAGATGCACATAGGCTCAAAATAAAGGGATGGAGGAAGATCTACCAAGCAAATGGAAAGAAAAAAAAAAGCAAGGGTTGCAATCCTAGTCTCTGATAAAACAGACTTTAAACCAACAAAAATCAAAAGAGACAAAGAAGGCCATTACATAATGGTAAAGGCATCAATTCAACAAGAAGAGCTAACTATCTTAAATATATATGCATCCAATACAGGAGCACCCAGATTCATGAAGCAGGTCCTTAGAGACTTACAAAGAGACTTAGACTCCCACACAATAATAATGGGAGACTTTAACACCCCACCATCATTATTAGACAGATAAACGAGACAGAAGGTTAACAAGGTTATCTAGGACTCAAACTCAGCTCTAGACCAAGCAGACCTAATAGACATCTACAGAAGTCTACACCCCAAATCAAGAGAATATACATTCTTCTCATCACCACATCGCACTTATTCTAAAATTGACCACACAATTGGTAGTAAAACACTCCTCAGCAAATGTAAAGGAACAGAAATCAGAACAAACTGTCTCTCAGGCCACAGTCCAATCAAATTAGAGCTCAGGATTAAGAAACTCACTCAAACCCCCACAACTACACGGAAACTGAATAACCTGCTCCTGAATGACTACTGGGTACATAACAAAATGAAGGCAGAAATAAAGACGTTATTTGAAACCAATGAGAACAAAGACACAACATACCAGAATCTCTGGGACACATTTAAAGCAATGTGTAGAGGGAAATTTATAGCACTAAATGCCCAGAAGAGAAAGCAGGAAAGATCTAAAATCGACACCCTAACATCACAATTAAAAGAACTAGAGAAGCAAGAGCAAACAAACTTAAAAGCTAGCAGAAAGCAAGAAATAACTAAGATCAGAGCAGAACTGAAGGGCTAGAAACACAAAAAACCCTTCAACAAATCAGTGAATCCAGGAGCTGGTTTTTTGAAAAGATCAACAAAATAGATAGACCCCTAGCAAGACTAATAAAGAAGAAAAGAGAGAAGAATCAAATAGACACAACAAAAAATGATAAAGAGGATATCACCACCAATCCCACAGAAATACAAACTACCATCAGAGAATACTATAAACACCTCTACGCAAATAAACTAGAAAATCTAGAAGAAATGGATAAATTCTTGGACACATACACCCTCCTAAGACTAAACCAGGAAGAAGTTGAATCTCTGAATAGACCAATAACAGGTTCTGAAATGGAGGCAATAATTAATGCCCTACCAACCAAAAAACATCCAGGACCAGACAGATTCACAGCCGAATTCTACCAGAGGTACAAAAAGGAGCTGATACCATTCCTTCTGAAACTATTTCAATCAAAAGAAAAGGAGGGAATCCTCCCTAACTCATTTTACGAGGCTAGCCTCATCCTGATACCAAAGCTTGGCAGAGACACAACAAAAAAAGAGAATTTTAGGCCAATATTCCTGATGAATATCAACGCAAAAATCTTCAATAAAACACTGGCAAACCAAATCCAGCAGCATATCAAAAAGCTTATCCACCACAATCAAGTCGGCTTCATCCCTGGAATGCAAGGTTGGTTCAACATACACAAATCAATAAACGTAATCCATCACATAAAGAGAACCAATGACAAAAACCACATGATTATCTCCATAGACGCAGAAAAAGCCTTCGACAAAATTCGACAGCCTTTCATACTAAAAACTCTCAATATACCAGGTATTGATGGAACAGATCTCAAAATAATAAGAGCTATTTTTGACAAACCTACAGCCAATATCATACTGAATGGGCAAAAACTGGAAGCATTCCCTTTGAAAATCAGCACAAGACAAGGATGCCCTCTCTCACAACTCCTATTCAACATAGTGTTGGAAGTTCTGCCTAGAGAAATCAGGCAAGAGAAAGAAATAAAGGGTATTCAATTAGGAAAACAGGAAGTCAAATTGTCTCTGTTTGCAGATGGCATGACTGTATATTTAGAAAACCCCATTGTCTCAGCCCAAAATCTCCTTAGGTTGATAAGTAACTTCAGCAAAGTCTCAGGATACAAAATCAATGGCAAAAATCACAAGCATCCTATACACCAATAATAGACAAACAGAGAGCCAAATCATGAGTGAACTCCCATTCACAATTACTACAAAGAAAATAAAACACCTAGGGATCCAACTTACAAAGGATGTGAAGGACCTCTTCAAGGAGAACTACAAACCACTGCTCAATGAAATAAAGGAGGACACAAACAAATGGAAGAACATTCCATGCTCATGGATAGGAAGAATCAATATCATGAAAATGGCCATACTGCCCAAAGTAATTCACAGAGTCAATGCTATCCCCATCAAGCTACCAATGACTTTCTTCACAGGATTGGAAAAAACTACTTTAAAGTTCATATGGAACCAAAAAAGAGCCCACATTGCCAAGTCAATCCTAAGCCAAAAGAACAAAGCTGGAGGCATCACACTACCTGACTTCAAACTATACTACAAGGCTACAGTAACCAAAACAGCATGGTACTGGTACCAAAACAGAGATATAGACCAATGGAACAGAACAGAGGCCTCAGAAATAATGCCGCATATCTACAACCATCTGATCTTTGACAAACCTGACAAACACAAGCAATGGGGAAAGGATTCCCTATTTAATAAATGGTGCTGGGAAAACTGGCTAGCCATATATAGAAAGCTGAACCTGGATCTCTTCTGTACACCTTATACAAATATTAACTCAAGATGGATTAAAGACTTAAATGTAAGACCTAACTCCATAAAAACCATAGAAGAAAACCTAGGCAATACCATTTAGGACATAGGCATGGGCAAAGACTTCATGACTAAAACACCAAAAGCAATGGCAACAAAAGCCAAAATTGACAAATGGGATCTAATTAAACTAAAGGGCTTCTGCACAGCAAAAGAAATGATCATCAGAGTGAACAGGCAACCTACAGAATGGGAGGAAATCTTTGCAATCTACCCATCTGACAAAGGGCTAATATCCAGAATCTACAAAGAACTTAAACAAATTTACAAGAAAAAAACAACCCCATCAAAAAGTGGGCAAAGGTAATGAATAGACACTTCTCAAAAGAAGACATTTATGCAGCCAACAGATCGGTGAAAAAAATGCTCATCATCACTGGTCATCAGAGAAATGCAAATCAAATCCGTGATGAGATACCATCTCACACCAGTTAGAATGGTGATCATTAAAAAGTCAGGAAACAATAGATGCTAGAGAGGATGTGGAGAAGAAATAGGAATGCTTTTACACTGTTGGTGAGGGTGTAAATTAGTTCAACCATTGTGGAAGACAGTGTGGCAATTCCTCAAGGATCTAGAACTAGAAATACCATTTGACCCACCAATCCCATTATTGGGTATATACCCAAAGGATTATAAATCATGCTACTATAAAGACACATGCACACATATGTTTATTGTGGCAGTATTCACAATAGCAAAGACTTGGGACCAACCCAAATGTCTATCAATGATAGACTGGATTAAGGAAATGTGGCACACATACACCATGGAATACTATGCAGCCATAAAGAGGATTAGTTAATGTCCTTTGCAGGGACCTGGATGAAGCTGGAAACCATCATTCTAAGCAAACTATCACAAGGACAGAAAACCAAACATCACATGTTCCCACTCATAGGTGGGAGTTGAACAATGAGAACACATGGACACAGGGCGGGAACATCACACACCAGGGCCTACTTGGGGGTGTGGGACTCGGGGAGGGATAGCATTAGGAGAAATACCTAATGTAAATGACGAGTTGATGGGTGCAGCAAACCAACATGGCACATGTATACCTGTGTAACAAAACTGCATGTTGTGCACATGTACCTTAGAACTTGAAGTACAATAAAAAAGTTTACTACTTAAGATGTTATAAATCAAATACCAAGCTGCTTCCTTTAGCTAATAGGAATGCTATTTTAGCTAATTATAAATTAGAATCTAAGTAGATTATGTGAAAAGACCTGACTCTCAACTTTTAAACTAGCAAAATGAGGTTAAGATTTTCTTGTCTGTAAACCCACTTAATTTTATTGCTTATAGGTACTATTCATCACAGTGGTTTTTATTATTTCATTTAGGTGACAAGATATTTAAAGATATGTGGTCTATAATTGGAAACAAAATAAAAGGAATACTTGGATGAAAAGATTGGGGATGACTAGATAAAATATCTAAGGTCCTCTTCAATCTAATAGTTGACATGTTTTAAAAATCAGCTCTATTTTGGTATAATTTATATACAACAAAACTCACCCATCTGAAAGTGTATATTTCAAAAAGTTCTGACAAAAGGACATACCTTCCCCTCCACTGCAAAGAGAAACACTAGTTAATAGATGAAGACTATGAAAAATTTTGGATTCTTTATTATACTGTTTTTAATAGGAAGCAATTTTATTTGAACTCTTCATGTTTAGCTTCAATATTAGTGTCCTTATCGTCATGATTATCATCACTGTGCCCTTTGTTGAGACCTCTAACAGAATTTTTCAGGGCACATCATCTTTATCTCTAAGTTATTTGAGCCACAGCACTTTCAAAACCTGACCATGGTGCTATCACTGCCTGCATATTACATTAGGCATCCAGACTTTTCCTTTCATTTTGTAGGCAAATACTCTCTACCACAAAACCTGCTTTATTTATCATTTTATAATGCCTATTAGCTAAAATAGCATTCCCATTAGCTAAAGGAAGCAGCTCAGCATTTGACTTATAACATCTTAAGTAGTAAACTTAATATAGGCATCAATTCACATGATTTTAAAAATGTAAACTATACAAAGGTATACACTGAAAAGTCTCCCTGCCACCCCTATCTCCCACCTGCTCGGTTGGTCCCCCAAACTTGAAACCACTGTTTATAGCTTCATATGTGTCTTTCCAGAGTTTATTTATTCAGATATGAATAAATATAAATGTAAGGTCTTAATTTTATACTCACTATCTTTGTCTAGCAATCAGTTGGCCATACCTTCTTTTATTTTTCTTTGGAAAAGAAAATCCTTTTTTTTTTTTTGTGAATAACTTCAACTCATTCAGACTAAACTTTCCTGTAATAAAACATAAGGATTCTGGCTATTCTTTAGTTATGTTCATTCATTCATTTAATTCAATTATTCAGCAAAGATCTACTGATTTTCTGTGGTGGCAAAAATACTGTACTCAGTTCTTGGAAGATTACAAAGATGACAGACCTTATCCTTGAAGAAAATATAGTATAGTGGAAGATAGAAAATATGAATCTAACTAATATGAGAGATGCATAAAATATCACAGCAGTTCAGAGAAGGGAGAGATTAGTTAAATGATATGGATCAAACATGGTTCTGGGATGAAAATGACCTTAGAGCTGAGCCCTGATAGTTGGGTTTATGTACCTGTGTAGATGGGGTAAGGGAAAAGAAAGAACATTCTATTTTATAACTTAGCACCCTTGTTTGCAAGTAATAGAAACTCAAAGTAGTTTAAAAAAAATAGTGCAAAGGGAGGAGGACGTATGTTAGCTCCTGCATCCAAAACACAAGACAAAACTGAACCCAACTTCGGTGTCAATAGCATACAAATATTTTACCAGTCTTAGCCTTTTGTGTCTCTCCTTCCTCTATTCTGTTTCTTTTTCCTTGAGCCTCCTTCCTGTAATAGGTGATATGGCTGTAACATATTCTTACTGCTCTCAATCCAAGAGTACAGAGAAAACTGCTCCTCTAATTCATAAATTTCTGGAAAGGACTGGCCCAACTTGGTGGTTATACCTTGCTGTGGGTTGAGGGAGTGGGAGGTACTGTTTGACAGCCTCAACCAAAACACACTGAATTGGGAAAGAGCAGTTCTCCAAGTGTGCTGCTACAGAAAAAGGCAGGAAGGGATGCATGCAGGCACCAAGTGTGGAGGTCGATTTACACCTGCATCATGAGGAAAGTCATGAAGGTAGCAAAATGCATTCCATGCTCTGAATATGGTAAGAAGTTCAGAAGAAGGCAGGGACAAGGGTGAGGCAAGCAAGCCATCTATGGTGCAAAATTTAAGGGGGTACTAATTCTTAGATGCCAACCCTGAACTTGCAGAACCTTGAGAGTGAGTGCCTCCTTAAATTTTGTACCTTAGTCACCTTGCTTGCCTCAATTTAATCCTGGCCCTGTTTAGAAGGACAGGATGCTTCACAGAGTTGAAGATCAACAGGTTGAGTAGTTTGAGGACCAAGTAAAGTGACCTTTGAGGCAACTGTCTTAATGTAATGATGTGAGTAAAAGACAGGTTGCACAAGTTTAAGGAGTAAATACCTAGAGAAGAAACTGGGGCAAAG